>NC_000010.11:7737272-7888787 GCF_000001405.40 Homo sapiens
CACCCCCGAGGGTGCACACACCCAGGGCTAGGAGACCTCAGGTTTATACGTCTCTTTCTTTTCTCTTTCTTGGGGACTGGTTCTACCGAAACATATATACATATATGATATATACACACACGTGTATATATCTCATATATATATATATATATATACACGTGTATATATATATATAACAGATAACGTATAATTATAATTATATTATCTGTAATATATAATTATATATATTTTGTATTCTATATATTATATACTATGTATTCTATATAATATATATTATGTATTCTATATAATATTATATATTAAATTCTATATTCTATATTATATTCTATATTCTATAGAATATTCTATATTATATTCTATATTCTATAGAATATTCTATATTATATTCTATATTATATTCTATATTTTCTATATTATATTCTATATAATATTCTATATTATATTCTATATAATATTCTATATTATATTCTATATAATATTCTATATTATATTCTATATAATATTCTATATTATATTCTATATAATATTCTATATTATATTCTATATAATATTCTATATTATATTCTATATATTATATATTATATTCTATATATTATATATTATATTCTATATATTATATATTATATTCTATATATTATATATTATATTCTATATATTATATATTATATTCTATATATTATATATTATATTCTATATATTATATATTATATTCTATATATTATATATTATATTCTATATATTATATATTATATTCTATATATTATATATTATATTCTATATATTATATATTATATTCTATATATTATATATTATATTCTATATATTATATATTATATTCTATATATTATATATTATATTCTATATATTATATATTATATTCTATATATTATATATTATATTCTATATATTATATATTATATTCTATAAAATATTATATATTATATTCTATATAATATTATATATTATATTCTATATAATATTATATATTATATTCTATATAATATTATATATTATATTCTATATAATATTATATATTATATTCTGGGCCTTCTCCCAGACTTCGCTCCCCGGCCTGCACTGGAGTCACGGGGCCCTTCCCCGGCCCTATAAAGCGGTTCCTCCCACTGCCACCCTTGCTCAGGTTCCAGACTCCAGAGAGAACTGTATCACAGGCCTCCTCCCTCAGCAACATGACAGAGGGAGCCCGAGAGAACTCTGGAATAAAAACAGAGGAGAAAAACCTAAGCTGACAATACCTGGGGGTGCATAAAACAGATTCTTGACATGGTGAGCAATTTCCGTGGAAACGTAAATCTAGAAACTAACAGATGCAGGTTTGTCTACGCAGGGGCCCTGTATTACGGCAGCAAAGTGGTTCCAGATTCCACCCCGTCTTGGGCCAATCCTTCACCAACGCCCGTGATCTCCATGCTGGCACAAGGATCTCAGGTGCTAGAGTCCACGCCACCCCCACATGTGATGAGAGGTAACGCTTCTACACTGCTTGCACGTCCCAGAACTCAGCCGACCATAATCCTGGGAAGCATTGTGTGCATGAGGCCAGGTGCAGCGGCTCACGCCTGTAATCGCAGCACTTTGGGAGGCCAAGGCAGGCAGATCACCTGTTTTTCTATAGAAATACAGCTTATTTTGTTTGTTTTTAATCATGTATTTACAGAATCCTAGTTTTGTTCAGTCTTTAAAAAAACCTTTCTGCAAACAGTTTCAGTGGGAGGTTTGGGTAGTAGCTGTGGTCATGCCAGGAAAATGTATTTCTTTGTGAGAGTTTTGGTGGCTGTGGCTTCCTTGTGTAGTCGCAGACTTCTTTGCCCTCCGTTGTCAATTTCTTTGCCTTTCCATTGACAACCTCTCTGGCATCTTCTCCCACAGCATGTGAGACGGGGAGCTGCCCCGGGGAAATGGGAGGGAGAGCGTCTCCTCTCCTGTTCCCAGCTCCTTGCGTTGCAGCCTTCACCCACAGAGATCACAGCTGCTGGCAGTTAGCTAGTTCATCTAGAAAACCTGTGTGCAGCTTTTCTTTCCTTACTTTCCTTTTGATTAGAAAAAAGTAAATTTCAACATTCAAAGACAGAGCACATCCCTCTCCCTGAAGGAAGGTGCAAAGTCCCAGCCTGACTTGAGTGTTTGAAATTTAGAAGGGTGGCTCCTGTTGGTCCTAGAATTGTGCGGCTTTCTTGACTGCCTGGAATACAGACCTTTCCATCAGGAAAGCCTCAAAGCTGGTTCTCCAGGTTGTATGCCTAGCACATACCAAATACCATGTTGTAGCAGAGAAAACTTAGCAAGGACTTTGAATGGACATTTAATGTTATTTCAGGCAAGGCCCATGGCTCACACTTGTAATCCCAGCACTTTTGGAGGCTCAGGTGGGAGAGGATTGCTTGAGGCCAGGAGTTTGAGACCAGCAAAAAAAACAAAAACAAAAACAAAAAAACCCTTTTCAAAAAATTAGCCAGGCATAGTGGTGCACCTGTAGTCCCAGCTACTCAAGAGGTTGAGGTGGGAGGTTTGCCTGAGCCCAGAAGTTCAACGTTGCAGTGAGCTATCATTGCGCCACTACATTCCAGCCTGGGTGACAGAGGGAGACCCTGTTTCAAAAAATAAAGTAGGGACCGGGCACGGTGGCTTACGCCTGTAATCCCAGCACTTTGGGAGGCCGAGGAGGGCAGATCACTTGAGGTCAGGAGTTCGAATCCAGCCTGGCCAACAGGGGGAAACCCTGTCTGTACTGAAAATACAAAAATTAGCCGGGCATGGTGGCAGGTGCCTGTAATCCCAGCTACTCGGGAGGCTTAGGCAGGAGAATTGCTTGCACCTGGGAGGCGGAGGTTGTAGTGAGCTGAGATCATGCCACTGCACTCCAGCCTGGGCGACAGAGCAAGACTCTGTCTCAAAATAAAATAGGATAAGATAAAACAGGGTGATAAAATAGTAACTTCATCTCACCCTTAGGGCTTATCTCTAAAATTATTATTTTGGGGCCACAAGTAACTTGCTCCTTCACCTCCATTGCTGGTAGCACTTTGTACAACACTCCCGTCTCCTACCCCAGCTCCATAGGGAGTCCCACGAACCATGCAGAAGTCTCAGTTAACAGCGGCAAACGTCTGCAGCCATGCATGAGTGGGGAATCCGTGCGTAAGTTGATCATGCTGGAGGAGCAGTTGCTTTTACTGTGCCTTTCTGACCAGCAGTTTCTGAGAGCCAGACACTACCATGACGCCCAGGGAGTGAGCTGCTTAAACTGTGGCTTTGCAAAATAAAGCTTTTGGAGAAAATTGTTGAGATCAAGTTAATTTACTTTTAAATATTCTTCCCATTTAAGACTGTAGTGCTTCTTCCAAGTTTCTCTTCTCTGTTGTATGATGTAGTGAAAAGGATGAGGACTTCAAAGTTAGACAGTCCTGGAGACACATCTGCCCCATGACCTTGTCCATACACTGAAATCTCCCTAGGGCTCAAGCAGCCCACCTCTAAAACGGGGATGATAATACCCTCCCTGCAGGGTGGATACAAGTTTCTCCTTCCTAGTAGAAGCTGTTATCACTGACCAGTGTTCTGCCCATGAACCTCAGGTGCTAGGAATCTATAACATTAGTCACGGAGGTCCTTGATCTACTTTCTGCCTGATCAAAATGTCAAGCTGTGCTGACTCATTTAAACATGATGCTTCGTTTCTGTTGTCTTGAATTATGTCAACTCAATATGGCAGCACAGATTCACTGTTGCCTATCAGAAGGTCTGATTGGCGGGATTTGAGCTAATTAAATGGCAAAACCAATCGTTGTCTTTAATAAAAGCAATTTTCTTCGAACAGAATATTTCAAACTACCATATTTGTGTAGAGGAAGAAAGAGGATATCATAATGATTGTTTAAGGTTTTTTTTTTTTTTTTTTTTTTGAGACAGAGTTTCACTCTTTTTGCCTAGGCTGGAGTGCAATGGCTCGATCTCGGCTCACTGCAACCTCTGCCTCCCGGGTTCAAGCAATTCTCCTGCCTCAGGCTCCAGAGTAGCTGGGATTACTGGTGCCCGCCACCACACCCGGCTAATTTTTTGTATTTTTAGTAGAGGCGGGGTTTCACTATGCTGGCCAGGCTGGTCTCGAATGCCTGACCTCGTGATCCACCCGCCTCAGCCTCCCAAAGTGCTGGGATTACAGGCGTGAGCCACCGCACCTGGCCTGTTCTGTGTTTTTACAATGCCCTGTAGTGTCTGGCTCCAAGAACAATCAACTAACCATGTATTTGTGGACTGCAGAGCATGAACCTGGAGGTGTGAACTGAACATTTCTGGCCTGAGTGACTGCTTTAGCCACTGCACAAGCTTCCTGTAACTCCTCTGCAAACTTTTAGTAACACTGCCACCAACAACTTTCCTAAAATGAGGGTCAAGTCACATTTATTCTCAGAAACCTTTAATAGCTGCTCAACAGAATAAAGGCCCATTCTTGGTGTTTCAGGGTCTCTGTGATCTCTACTTTTAGCTCTTTTTCTCTGCATTCTTCAAGAACCTGTCCTCTGGTCGCATTGAGTTATTTTCTAAAGAAATCATAAACTCTTCTACCTCCACTCCTTCCTCATTCTGTACACTCAGAATAAAATCTCTTCCTCCTTAGCCTTTTGTCTTTCCCCGCTGTCCTCTGACCTTAAAGACAGTTCAGAAGCCACCTCCTCCATTCAGCCTTGCTGTTTGCCTGGGGGGCACTAATCATTTTCATCTTCATTCTCACAGCATTTTACTTGAGCCACTATTGCACCATGTACTTCATTCTATCTTACATTCGTGATTATGTCTGCCCCTTGCACTAAAGTATTACTTTCTTGAAGTTACTGACCATGACTTATGTTTATAGTTAACACCAAACATTGCCAAATTTAGTGATTGCACATAGATTTTTTTTTTCCTTCACCAAGTATTTGTTGAATGGTTAAATGGGAAAGAGCGGGAGAGGGAGAGTGGGGATGGGGGAGCGGGAGGGGAGGGGAAGCAAGGAAGGATTATCTAAAATAATTAGGTTCAATAACAAAGGAGTACTTTCTTGGGAGTAGCTTGATTCTTCATTGCTTTTGGAATTGAATCATATTAATCTGTATGTCAACAATAATAGTGTGTCTCCTTTGTTTTCCTGCATTGTATATGGCTCCTTAAAAAATATATCTCCAGGCTGGGTGAGGCGGCTCACACCTTTAATCCCAGGACTTTGAGAGGCTGAGATGGGTGGATCACTTGAGTTCAGGAGTTTGACACTAGCCTGGGAAACAAAGTGAGACCCCCCATCTCTACAAAAAATACAAAACATTAGCTAGACATGGTGGCACATGGATGTTGCCCCAGCTACTCAGGAGGCTGAGCTGGGAGGATGACTTGAGCCTTGGAGGTCAAGGCTGCAGTGAGCCATGATTGCAACATTGCACTCCAGCCTGGGTGACAGAGGGAGATCCTGTCTCAAAAAACACCCAACTCTATTTTTCTGTCTACACACATATTCACACACGTGTATGTATGTTTCTTATATTTGTGGGTGCATATTTGTGTGTATTTCTTATTCCTTAAGTCTTTCTTATTCATTTTTTATCTCTAGTATCTAGTCTAGTGCATACATTTTTAGCTACAAAATAAATATCCACTATATTTGTAAAATAACATAGGGTTCTGAAGAAGGCTCCGTGACAAAGGGACAATGGAGTATGAACCACTGGGTCCCCAAGACCTGGAGGAGTACCGAGCATGTAGGAGAAGCACAATAAATATTTGTTCTGATTAAATTAAAGATGTTCAGGAATGACATAGTGCTCAAAATCATCTTCCTTTTAATGATTTTGTTTACGTTTTCTTTGTATATTTTCCAGTTGAAAATGACCCACATTTCATCATTTATCTACCAAAAAGCCAAAAGAACATTTGTTTCAATATTGACTCAGAACCTGGAAAAATCCTCAACCTGGTTTCTGACCCAGAATCAGGTAAAATAAAAATAAATTATATTTGCACCAATTAGGTCATTGTCATGCTTTCCTGTCACTGCCTGGGATTTCTTTCTTTCTCAGCTTAATAGAAGTTCTATATATTTCAGTGATATTAGTGAGAAATTAAATTATAAATATATTCTTAACTATTTTGAACCATTATAGTTCAAAATATATACTCTGAGTATGAACTTGCAGATCTTGTTGTGATATAATTAATTTAAATATGAGCCAGGAACGGTGGCTTACACATGCAATCCCAGCACTTTGGGAGGCCGAGGTGGGCGGATCATCTGAGGTCAAGAGTTCGAGACCAGCCTGGTCAAAATGATGAAACCCCACCCCCCACTACTAAAAATACAAAAACAATTACCCAGGCGTGGTGGTACACACCTGTAATCCCAGCTACTCAGGAGGCTGAGGCAGGAGAATTGCTTGAACCCGGGAGGTGGAGGTTGCAGTGAGCCAAGATCACACCATTGCGCTCCAGCCTGAGTGACAGAGTAAGACTCCGTCTCAAAAACAACAACAAAAAATTTAAATACTATATGATAGTCAATTATTTAAATTTTATAAACTGACAATTAAATTTTATAACTGATATAAAATTATTAAATTAAATTTTATTAAAATTTATAAATGTTATATTAACATGTTATAAAATGAGAATCACAAAGAAGAAAATGTTAATGTAAATCTTGAAGCAAAATTATAATAATTTTCCAATATTGCCAAGTTTTTATAAATTTGAATTATAGTACCCACACATGCAAAATAAATGGCACAGAAGAGAAAACATCATTTTTTTCTTTCCTGTAGGAATTGTAGTCAACGGTCAGCTTGTTGGTGCCAAGAAGCCCAACAATGGAAAACTAAGCACCTATTTTGGAAAACTGGGATTTTATTTCCAAAGTGAAGACATAAAAATAGAAATCAGCACTGAGACCATCACCCTGAGCCATGGTTCTAGCACATTCTCCTTGTCCTGGTCCGACACGGCTCAAGTCACGAATCAGAGGCAAGTATGATTCCATCTGAACTTGGGCCTGTCCGTGACACACGACTGCATAAATAAATCCAGGCATCAGTGACATCAACATTGAAAAAAAATCATCATTTTAAATATAAGGAAGTTGAGGTTCAGAAAAATTGTTCTCACTCCCTACTCTGTTCCTGGCAGTGGGCACTGTGTGTTTTTGGTCACCGTTGGGTCCCAGGACCTAGTCCAGTGCCTGGCATCAGTAAACACTCACTGTGTATGTGCTAATCAGTGAACAAATCCACCAGCTGAAATCCATACTGACTCTATCGCAGAGTGAGCTCCAAACGCCATGATTGTGTCCTCTGCGTAGAAGCTTCCCAATGAGTTTCTGTTAATCCATCATTTATCTATAAACTGTTGCAAGCGCTTAGATAACTAGCGGAATTGTCTGGGAGGAGTGAAGAGTTCATATTAGGGGTGAGAAGAATGACTTTCTCAAAAGGTCTGTTCTGGAATGGTTTAATTCCTCTTGGACTTTCACACCAGGGTGCAGATCTCAGTGAAGAAAGAAAAAGTGGTAACTATCACCCTGGATAAAGAGATGTCCTTTTCTGTTTTACTTCATCGTGTTTGGAAGAAGCATCCCGTCAATGTTGACTTTCTGGGAATCTACATACCCCCTACAAACAAGTTCTCACCTAAAGCCCACGGACTAATAGGTAAAGTGTCTATTGACCATCTGACAAGGGTGGGGCCGCTCTAATTCTTTAGCAGCTTTGGTTGACAGTGGTTACAAGTTGAGGACATGGCAGGTGTGGACTCATGAGCACAGAGGACTAACATAGCAGTGTGGGGTCGCTCGGGAATGTGACAGCCAGGACCTTTTGCCATTCCAGACAAGGTTGTCCAGGGCCAGGATTTCAGCATCACAAACTGGGCAAGTTAAGAGAAGGGACAGATACATTTTAAGTTTTATGTTAAAGATTTTTTTCTAACTGAAGCAAGATGAACCCATTTAGGAGGTCTGTGATAACAAGCAGAACACTCTGGACAAATGTCCCTAGTATTTTAAGAAGGGCTCAAATATAAAGCCTGTGACATCACAAACAAAACTTTTTCCTGTGATCTGAGCTATACTCTCAGGTGCTCACCTCATTCTCCTGCCATCAGGGTGCTCGATTTACTTACAATCCACTAGACCAACCTCATGTATAAAATGACCATGAGCTCCAGGCATGGTGGCTCGTGCCTGTAATCCCAGCACTTTAGGAGGCCTGGGCAGGTGGATTTGCTTGTGGAGTTCAAGGGCAGCCTGGGCACCCCATCTCTACCAAAAAATTAGAAAATAAAAATAATTAGCAGGGTATGGTGGAGCCTGCCTGGAGTCCCAGCTACTCAGGAAGCTGAGGTGGGATCTCTTGAGCCCCGGAATTGGAGGCTGCAGTGAGCTATGACTGTGCCACTGTGCTCCAGCCTGGGTGACAGAGGGAGACTCCATCTCTTAAATTAATTAATTCATTAATTTATGAGATGGAGTTTCTCTCTTGTTGCCCAGGCTGGAGCGCAGTGGCGCAATCTCGGCTCACCGCAACCGCTGCCTCCCCGGTTCATGCGATTCTCTTCCCTCAGCCTCCCGAGTAGCTGGGATTACAGGCATGCACCACCACGCCCAGCTAATTTTGTATTTTTAGTAGAGATGGGGTTTCTCCATGTTGGTCAGGCTGGTCTCAAACTCCCAACCTCAGGTGATCTGCCCACCTCGGCCTCCCAAAGTGCTGGGATTACAGGTGTGAGCCACCACACCCGGCCCCAAATCTTAAATTTAAAAAAAAAAAAAAAAAAAAAAAAAAAAAAAAGGCTGTGAGTAGTGGCTCACACCTGTAATCCCAGCACTTTGGGAGGCTGAGGTGGGTGGATCGCTTGAGTCCAGGAGTTCAAGATCAACCTGTGCAACACGGTGAAACCCTGTCTCTACAAAAAATTAGCCAGGCGTAGTGGCTCACGCCTGTGGTCCCAGCTACTTGGGAGGCTGAGGTGGGAAGAACACTTGAGCCCAGGAGGTGGAGGTTGCAGTGAGCCGAGATAGCACCACTGCACTCCAGCCTGGGCAACAGAGGGAGATCCTGCCTCAAATTAAAAAAATAAAAATAAAAAAAAGATGGTGAGCAGCACAAATGTGCTCCCAGGAAGGACCCTCCCTCCCATCACCACTCCTTTTTCCTCTCAGCTTGTCTTTCCACCCTAGAAATCCTGGAGGGAGGACCGAAAGGTAGCATGGAGTCAATAATGAGCCTCTTTTTATTTAACTATGATTACATGTCAATCAATGTCTGATTCTGTTTTGCTAGGCCAGTTCATGCAGGAACCAAAGATACACATCTTCAATGAGAGACCAGGAAAGGACCCTGAGAAGCCAGAGGCCAGCATGGAAGTGAAGGGGCAGAAGCTGATCATCACCAGGTAGGCCTCGGGCGTAAGGACAGTGACGAAAAGGCCTTGTGTTAGAATTAGACCCACACAGCAAAATAGAGGAGCAAAGAAGAAGTGTCGTAGGCACTACCTACATCACACTAAGCAGTTCATTAGGAATAGACGCACACAGCATTCGCATAAGGACACTTCTGATATCCCACGTTAAATGCAAATAATGACTGGGTATCTAGGGTCATGCAATGCCAAGATTAACTAACCTGTTGTTCTCATCTTCATACTTTAGAAGCCCTCACAAGAGCTTCACAAGTTGGATAACCAGACACGTTGATCAAAGGAGAGAATCATAAAACACCTATTACCATAGTGCTGCAGAATGAATGTAGATTTTTACATCAGGCTAGAGTTTTCCTTTTGCACAGGGATCTCTGACTGCTTTTTTTGTAGCTTTTCTTACACAAACCACCCCCATATGCTTCATCTGAAGTGAGAACTTAGACGCTCATAACGCATTCTGAGTGTAAAAGTCTTACAAATCTTGATATTTTTTCCCAGTCCTTTACAGTTGTCTCACCCATGCCAAATTTGATACCGTTTTAAAGCAGCTTACCCCTTTTTAGAGTTTTTACAAAGCAGCCAACTTTGCTTTATTAGAAAGGATTCTTCACGCCCACAAATGTCATTGGCTTTGACATACTTAATTAAACCATAACATTGTAACATAAAATTGTAGTCGGAAGTATTGCCACGAAAGTAGATTTGTGAACTGAAACAATGGATTCTTAGTGAATATGCCATTCAATTAGTATCAGTTTATGGGAGGAATGAGGTACCGACGGGAATCAGTGAGCATGTGTCACAGAAGCAATGGTGAGCACAAATTATTAATGTTAATAGTAAGTTATCTGAAGTTGGTAGAAGGGCATTTACTGCCAGGCATGGTGGCTCATGCCTGTAATCCCAATGCTTTGAGAGGCCAATGTGGGAGGATCACCTGAGACCAGGAGTTCAAGACCAGCCTGGGCAACATAGTAAGACTCCATCTCTACAAAAATAAAAATAAATATAAAAATAATTATCCAGGTGTAGTAGATTCTGCCTATAGCCCCAGCTACTCAGGAGGCTGAGGTGGGAGGATCCGTTGAACCCAGGAGTTCGAGGATGAAGTGACTTATGATTGTGCCTCTGCACTCCAGCTTGGGTAACAGAGAGAGACCTGTCTCATAAATAAATACATAATATATAAATAGGCCAGGCGCAGTGGCTCACGCCTGTAATCCCAGCACTTTGCAAGGCCTGGGTGGGTGGATAACCTGAGGTCAGGAGTTCAAGACCAACTTGCCAACATGTTGAAACCCCCCCCATCTCTACTAAAAATACAAAAATTAGCCGGGTGTGGTGGCGGGCGCCTGTATTCCCAGCTACTCGGGAGGCTGAGGTAGGATAATCACTTGAACCCGGAAGGCAGAGGTTGCAGTGAGCAGAGATAGCACCACTGCACTCCAGCCTGACTCCATCTCATAAAATATGTATATATATTTATATATACATATATAAATAAATATATGTATACATATATATATATATTTACTATAATGACAAAAAGTAAATGCTGGGCCTCGATTTGGTCCACTGCAAGCACCTCATGGTTCATAACTGAAACTGAGCTGTCCCGTGGGCTGGGCACAGTGATACTTTTAAGTCTCGTTCACGCAGTGTGAACGAGATCCTTAACAAATTGTTGGCTACTTTGCCCTTCAAGTGGAGGACATGAATCTGCTCAGAAACAGCAGGTATCACTCTTAAACACAGAGAAAGTGCAGTTAAGAGGTGCCGCCAATGCATTCTTTTTTTTTTTTTTTTTTTTTTTTTTTTTTTTTTTTTAGTGACAGAGTCTTGCTCTGTCGCCCAGGCTGGAGTGCAGTGACGTATCTTGGGCTCACTGCAACCTCCACCTCCTGGGTTCAAGCAATTCTCTTGCCTCAGCCTCCCAAGTAGCTGGGACTACAGGCGTACACCACCATGCCCAGGTAATTTTTCTTTTAATTTTTAGTAGAGACAGGGTTTCACCATGTTGGCCAGGCTGGTCTTGAACTCCTGGCCTCAAGTGGTCCGCCCACCTCAGCCTCCCAAAGCGCTGAGATTACAGGCGTGAGCCACCATGCCTGGCTGCTGACTCATTCTTTAAGTGACCTGTGAGGTCAGCCTCAACACTGTGGAGTCTTGTTCCTGCCTTCTTTCCATTGGCTACTGTTTCCCTCGCTGGAAAAGCCCATATAGGTCAACTCTAAGGGTTCTTTGAGTTCTCCAAGGACGCTTCGCTGATTCTCTGTGCTTCCAACACCAAGCCCCAGACTTGGTGTTTCTTTTTCACATGACTTGGGGAGCAGCGATAGGTGGGGGGCGGCAGATGTGGTGACAGAAGGAACACGAAGAACAGCAAGGAAAAGAGGGAGTCTTGTGTCTAGAGGTGCTCAGTCTCCCCCTAACCACATGCCTTGCTTCCTTGCAGGGGCTTACAGAAAGACTACAGAACGGATCTAGTGTTTGGAACGGACGTTACCTGCTGGTTTGTGCACAACAGTGGAAAAGGATTCATTGACGGGCATTACAAGGATTACTTCGTGCCTCAGCTCTACAGCTTTCTCAAACGGCCTTAAAGGTTTATAGTTTGGGAAATTATATATATTAATATACATCTTTCCCCTGTCACTTTTGCAGATATTCTTCGGTTTGAATAATTAAAATGAACCAGATATCAGGGTGGTTAATTAAAATGAACCAGATATCAGGGTGGTTTATAAAGCCTGTAAACACACCTAAGAAAATAAACATTTTACAAATGAGCTTTTAGGATTTTGTTGCATTTTTAGATGCCGAAGTGTGTGGATCAAGGTGGTGCCGAGACAAGCCAGCGTCTGGAAGAGCCTTAAATTTGGTGTTTACTGTGATCATTTATTAATATCTTTTCTTTCTTTTTTTTGAGACAGGGTCTCGCTCTGTTGCCCAGGTTGGAGTGCAGTGGCGTGATCATGGCTCACTTCAGCCTCAAGCTGGGCACAAGCAATCCACCCACTTCAACCTCCCTAGCAGCTGGGACTACAGTCGCATGTCACTATGCCTGGCTAATTTTTGTTTTTTGCAGAGATGAGGTCTCACTATGGTGCCCAGGCTGGTCTCAAACTCCTGGGCTCAAGTGATTCTCCCGCCTCAGCCGTCCAAAGTGCTGGGATTACAGGTGTGAGCCACCATGCCCAGCTGATCATTTCACTGCTGTTGAGTCTCAGGTCCTCAACCTTGCAGATCGCGTCCATTTTTACACTGCTAGTTACATGGGAAGTACAATTATGAGAGGGTTATATGGTGAGCATAGAACAAGAAATGGGGGTTACTTGATCTTAGGTGCTTCGTAGAGATTTATACTAAAGCCCTGTTACCCTCTGTAGAGATTTATACTAAAGCAAGGATAGCCTTGCTATGGTGCCTGTGATAGCCCAGTATTTTTAGCCAAGATTCTCTTCATAGTGTTGGTCCCTGGGTCCCTTTTGAGTTTATGAGGCCTGGATTAGCCATAGTTCTCCAGGAAAACAGAACCCATAGGAGATTTACAATAAGGATTGGCTCATGTGATTATGGAGGCTTGTAAATCCAAAATCTGCAGAGTAGGCTGATGGTACAGGAGAACTAGGGAGGAGCCAGTGTTCCAGCTCAAAAGCCATCAGGCAGGAAGAGCTGATGCTGCAGATGAAGTTCGAAGGCCGTACACTAGAGAATCCCCCGACTTTGGGAAGTCAGCATTTTTGTTCTATTCAGGCCTTTGACTATTAGACGAGGCCCACCCACACAAGGGAGGGTGATTTGCTTTACTTTTTTTTTTTTCTTGAGATGGGGTCTCCCTTTGTTGCCCAGGCTGGAGCACAGTGGCACAATCTCGGCTCACTGCAACCTCCACCTCCCGGGTTCAAGCGATCCTCCTGCCTCAGCCTCCCAAGTAGCTGGGATTACAGGCGTGAGCCACCATGCCCAGCCCTACTTGGAGTTTTTGTTGCTCCCAAATTCTGCACATATTTAAAATCGCTCAGGATGTTACCTCAGATGGCTAATTATACACATTGTTAATGTTGCTAAATGAATTCTGAATCATAGTTCCAAATTCTCTGGAAGCCCTCTGTGTCTGTGAATCAAGTTTCACACAAATTTAATATACCTTGAACACAGCATCTTTTTTAGTACTCCTGGTAGAACTGTTATTTCATTTGCATTTAAACCATTTCTGAGTAATACCACTTACATGCTAAATCTTAGACTTTATTTCAAAATAAAGTAGTAAATTATGTTCTAACAAAAGACCAATGACATTTATAAGGGAGAATAAAATAAGCAACAAATTTAAAGCGAAACTAGGTTACTTTATGCTGTCTGCATTTGTATAGTGGATTTTGGTGCTAAGATGCAAGTCTGAACCAGTGTAATTCTGTGCTTTGCTGTGTTTACAACTTTCCTTAAAAAATCAATTCCTAAAATGAACGTATTTTCAAAAGTCAAATTGGTGAACTTGCACTTTAAAAAAGCTTTTTAAAGGCACATTTTTATGAATCTTCCTTTCCATAATCTGGTAAAAATCATTTTTCATTGTAGAGGCAAAACTCTTTTTTTGGACATATCCAACCCATATTTGAAAAAGCAAGTGAGCTCCTCTAAACCTAATTGCAAAATCTTAAGGAAATCTGATTGTTTCTAGAAGCTAAAGATTACTGGCTGGGTGTGGTGCCTCATGCCTATAATCCCAGCACTCTCGGAGGCCAAGGCAGGAGCATCACTGGAGGCCAGGAGTTCAAGACCAGCCTAAGCAACACAGTGAGACTCCCATCTCTTTATAGAAATAAATAAAAATAAAGATAAACTTAGTGCTGAAGAGGTAAATAGCACTACCTCTTAGTTTTCTTCTTCTATAAGAAGTGCTCACCTATGATACCCTTTTGAAAAACCTACTGCATCTTTTCCATTTCCTATTTCAAAAATAGAAAAATATTAAATATTAGAATGCTAATATTCAACATAAACTTCAAAAGTGAGATTTTAGCATTAACTCTGTTATTTGGTTAAAATCTTGAATTTAAAACTTCTACCTGCAGATATTAAGTTTAGCTTTTAGTATTTTATGTGTGCACAGTGGTCTTAAAAGTAACGATGTACTAAAAATACAAAAAATTAGCCGGGCGCGGTGGCGGGCGCCTGTAGTCCCAGCTACTCGGGAGGCTGAGGCAGGAGAATGGCGTGAACCCGGGAAGCGGAGCTTGCAGTGAGCCGAGATTGCGCCACTGCAGTCCGCAGTCCGGCCTGGGCGACAGAGCGAGACTCCGTCTCAAAAAAAAAAAAAAAAAAAAAAAAAAAAAAAAAAAAAAGTAACGATGAAAATCTTGGGGTGTTAAAAAAGAATAGCTTAAAACAAAATGAGAAGACAGGCCACTGACTGAGAGAAAATACTTGCAAAAGACACATTCGATAAAGAACACAACTGAAATATACAAACAACTCTTAAAATTCAACAATAAGAAAATGAGTAACCCAATTAAATAATGGGCAAAAAACCTGAAAGACATCTCACCAGAGAAGATATACAGGTGGCAAATAAGCCCATGAAAAGATGCTCCACATCATACTTCATCAAAGAAATGCAAATTAAAGCAATGACAAGATCCCACTGTACAGCTATTAAGATGGCCAAAATCCAGAACACTGACAACATCAAATGCTGACGGAGATGCAGAGCAGCAGGAACTCTCATTCACTGCTCGTTTGAATACAAAATGGTACAGTCACTCTGGAAGACAGGTTGGTAGTTTCTCAGAAGACTCCTGGCATATGATCCAGCAATTGTGCTCTTTGGTCGTTACGTAAATAAGTTGAAAACGTCTATCCACAAAAAACCTGCGCACAGATGTTTGTAGCAGCTTTACTCATAATTTCCAAACCTTGTAAGCAACCAAGATATCCTTCAGTAGGTGAGTGCATAAACTGTGGTGCATTCAGACAATAGAATATGCAGTGCTAAAATGAAGTGCGCTATCGAGCCACAAAAACCTAACCAAAACAACATGGAGGAACCTTACATGCATATGTTCTACCAGGTGAAAGAAGCCAATCTGAAAAAGCTACACCCTGTGTGACTCCAACTATATGACCTTCGATGGAGACAAAACTAGGGAGACAGTAAAAAGATCAGCGGTCAGCAGGGATTTGGGGGGAGACAGGGAACAGACAGAACACAGGAAACTTCTAGGGCAGTGAAACTGTTCTGTGTGATACTACAGTGGCAGATGCATGTCATTATACATTTGTCAAAACCCACAGAGACTGCTCTAAAAAGTAAAGTCTATGTTTGAAATAAAGAAAAATAGCTTATGATACTTCAAAAATCAAAGTCTAATATGAGACCTGTTGTTAGTTATCTGCAGTCATTTTGCTTAGCATAAACTCTATCAAGTTCTACAGACTCAGAGGGAAAAAACTACTGTGAAGTCTATAATCGTATTTTTATGCTTCAGATATTTTTTATTGAATTTAACCTCAAGTATGCTGCCTCATTTCATTCTGAAATAATTTCAGAAAGACGTTGGAGAATTAAATGTGGGAGGCAGACATGAAACATTTTTTCTCTGAAGAAAACCACCAAGTTGATTCCAAACGTACATACTTGGGGGAGGCATATGTAATTTGTCTGGTTTTACTCATCACTATTTGTTATCAGGGAGAACCATTCTCCTTTTTGAAATTCTTCAGACCAGATTCTTAGTAGTCCAGGCTCAACTTCTTGGCTTCATTTCTGGACATGACCACTCACTGCCATTTATTCAATACCTACTATGTGCTGGACTTCATGTCTGATGATTTATATGTATTTTCTGTAGGTCTCCCATCAACCCTGCTGAAAAACATTTTGACAATTTATACATTAAAAACATTGCAATTCAAGAACATTAACATTCTAATATTACAAAGCCAATGAACAGAACTGCCAGAATTTGATCTAAAGACTGCCCACACCCAAAACCCAGTTGCTTTCCATAATGTGCTGTCAGGTTACTTTGGAAAAACCTTAATTCATCCCTGAGGAACATTTTCTGTAAAGCTTCTGCCATCATCCTATTAGTATTTCTTTACTGCCTCTTACATTTCTGCTAACAGCATACGTTCTCCCATCTTCTGAGAATAGAAGCAATCAGCCCTCCCTGACTCTCAGTTAAAGAGAGAGATCCCAGGGTTTGGCACCATACCTGTGTCTGACGTCAGCTTATACCCATCCTCATGTTTGAAGTGATCATCCTGGTATGGTCTGTTTTTTGTTTGAACTCTTGTAGAAGATCAACTCAGGCAAGGCGTGGTAGCTCACACCTGTAATCACAACATTTTAGAAGGCCGAGGCAGGAGGATTGCTTGAGCTCAAGAGTTTGAGACCAGCCTGGGCAACATAGCAAGACCTCATCTCTACTAAAAATCAAAAAAATTAGCCAGGCATGGTAGTGCATGCCTGTAGTCCCAGCTACTCGGGAGGCTGAGGTGGGAGAATCAATGACCTAAGCCCAGGAGGACGAGGCTGCAGTGAGCCATGATTGTGCCACTGCACTCCAGGCTGGATGACAGAGCAAGACCCTATCTCAAAAAACAGAACAAAAAAAAAGAGGCGTAGTGGCTCATGCCTGTAATCCCAGCACTTTGGGAGGCTGAGGCGGGCAGATCATAAGGTCAAGAGATCGAGACCATCCTGGCCAACATGGTGAAACCTCATCTCTTCTAAAATTACAAAAATTAGCTGGGCGTGGTGGCGCATGCCTGTAGTCCCAGCTACTCAGGAGGCTGAGGCAGGAGAATGGCTTGAACCCGGGAGGTGGAGGTTGCAGTGAGCCGAGATTGCACTACTGCAATCAGCCTGGGTGACAGAGTGAGACTCTGTGTCAGAAAAAAAAAAAAAAAGAAAAAGAAAAGATAGATCATCTCTCTCTTCCCGGTGCTGCTGAAGGGTAAGATGTAAACCTAGAGTGCTCAAGAATGTAAATGTAGAGAGCCAGCACAGGAGCCAGAGACAGAGCGGAAGCCCAGGGAAGGCTGTTCACACCCGGTCCCGCTGCCCTGGAAGCTAGCGTCTGCTCCTTTCAGTCATGTGCACTACAAATATCCCTTCGTTTTTCCTTTGGCACAGGCAAATGTGGGTTTCCTGTCTTTTGCATTCCCTAATAATACACTGCCCTACTTATTTCAAACTGTATGGTTAGGCAGGGTGCTGTGGCTCACACCTGCAATCCTAGCACTTTGGGAGGCTGAGGCAGGAGGATCACTTGAGCCCAGGAGTTTGACAGCAGCCTGGGCAACACAGTGAGACCATGTCTCTAAAAGTAAAAAAATTAAAAACAAATAAAACTATAGTTCAACATTGCTGGTAGGACTGTAAAATGGTATAGCTGCTCTGGAAGAGTTTGGCAGAAGCGAAAGCTTCTGTTCACATAAAATCCTGTAAATGGGTGATCATGGCAGCATTATTCACAATAGCCAAAAAGTAGAAACAATCTAAATGTTTATCAGCTGATGAATGGACAAACAAAATACGGTACATCCATACAGTGGAATATTAAGCAGCCATAAAAACAAATGAAGCACGCCTACATGCTACTGCATGGATAAACCTTGAAAACATGATGCTAAGTGTAAGAAGCCAGTCATAAAAGATCACATATTATATGATTCCATTTATAAGAAATGTCCAGAAAGGGCAAATCCATAGAGACAGAAAGTACATTAGTGGCTGTCTAGGGCTAGGGCAGAGGGGAAAAATAGCGATTGACTATTAAAGGGTTTCATTTTGGGGTATGAAAGTGTTTTAAAATCAGACAGTGGTGATGGCTGCACAATTCTGCAAAAATACTAAAAACCACTGAATTGTATGTATATTTTAAATGAGTGAACTGTATGGTATATGAATTATTACCACAATAAAGCTGCTTCTATATTTATAGTTTGACATTTAAAATTTAGTCACACTTAGAGTTCAACTTTACTACTCTACTACTGAAAATATAGAGTGTATGAAGGATTTCCTCCAATTACATGATTCTAAATTGTCATAGATAAAACACTTTATAATAACATTCTTTAATGAAGATATAAACTCATCAAGTAAATTACAAAGGAAACAAAAATAACAAGGACAAAATTACATAGTTTGATACCTCATGAGACATAATTAAATTCTTCTCAAAGTTTAGCTGAACAACTATACAGTAATATTTTCAAAAACCTGTTTGTTTTATACAAAAGAATATACCCTAACACAGTAGAGTCTCATAATGCCTTGGCGAACACCAATTTGATGCTTTAAGATTTTAATGTATTGTTAACAAATTTTCAAACTCAGGCAAGTTTAGAAATGTCTTCATATTGAATTCCTTCAACTCTGCGTCCTTTTAAAGGGCCCTACAAATTAAAATAATTTAAAATAAGGTTAAAAACACATATTCCTAAAAGACAAAAAAATGACACCATACTTATGGATACAAATTTGCCTTTTCCGCATCCCTAAAATACCATTAAGATTGTTAACATTTGTATACATCTATGAATTTTAAGAATAATCTATGGCATTCTCATTAAGAACTACCATATTTTCTTCTGTGACATCTGACATACGTTATCAATAGACATTGTGGCAGAGACCTGCAAGCTGTTCAGTATCTCCTCTGCTTCCTGGATAAATAGCCAGTTTCCTGGCTCCCTTGTGGTTAGCTGTGGCCATGCATGGAGCTCCAGCCCATGAAAGCAAACAGAAGTGACGGTCCAGACGTGCTATAACTGACACACAATCTGCCAAGCTCCTTTTGCCTGCCCAGTGCACACAGACATGGCAACTGGAGATGCCACTTGAGGGCAGTAGAGGCACTAGCTGGAAGGACCCTGGGTTCACAAATCGCCACTTAGAAAGAGTTCCCTGATCAAAAATACCCATTTGGGGTTTTTAGAGTGAAACGTTAACTTCTACCATGTTTGTGCCATTGTCCATTTGGGGTTTTCTTTTTTTTATAGGAAATATCATTTTGTAAGCATTACGATACTCAAACATGTTTGTCTAGGTTGGCTGTGATAGTTACACTGGTCCAGATTATAAAAAGAGTCCAACTTTAACTTTATTTTCTTCTTTCATATCGAACAAAAAGGGAAAGAGGAAAACTTAATTAATGAAAGATATTTTCTATCACAAAAGCGGATATAACCTGGGAACACAGAGGCTAAGAATATGGGCTGTGAACCTACACTCCCCAAGTTCAAATCTCACTTTCAACAATTGATTTAACCTCTCTGTCCTTCAGTTTCCTCTCTGTGCCTTATTATCTCCCAGTGGAAATAATGGTAATGTCTGTATGATTGGGTTGTTGGGAAATATAAATGAGTTATTTCATATAAAGTGACTAGACCTGGAACTTAATATGAGTGAGAGCTCAATAATTTTCAACTCTAATTATTATTTAATCTTTTGTTTAAAATTTGAGAGTTGGGTCGGGCGCAGTGCTCACATCTGTAATCCCAGCACTTTGGGAGGCCGAGGCAGGTGGATCACCTGAGGTCAGGAGTTTGAGACCAGCCTGACCAACATAGTGAAACCCTATCTCTACTAAAAATATAAAAATTAGCTGGGCATGGTGGCACACACCTGTAATCCCAGCTACTTGGGAGGCTGGAGCAGAAGAATTTCTTGAACCCGGAGGCAGAGGTTGCAGTGAGCTGAGATCGCGCCATTGCACTCCAGCCTGGGCGACAGAGTGAGACTCTGTCTTGAAAATAAATAATAAAATAAAATAAAATTAAATTAAATAAAATTAAAATTAAATTTGACAGTTAATCCTCTCCCTTGCAAAATATAACATGATGATGATGACAATAATGATGATGACAATGATGATGACTCTAACCCTAGAACTGAGATTTTAACATTTTTTTACTGCTTCCCTTCACAACAAATAATTATCATATTTAAAGGAATTAAGTTCCCAGATAAAGTATAACCTAGGTTAGATTTTTCATTATCATGTTTAATGGTCTATGGTCAATTACATTTTTCTGATAAGTACCATAAATCTGGAGAATAAGAAGGGAGCCAGACATTTGGGCTTATAGGGCAAATAGCTAAAAAGCTGAAGCTATTTAGGAACAATTTATTGGATGTTAAAAATCTGCTTGATATATGTATAAATTTCAAATATTATCAACGACATGAAAACTTAAGGTGCCAGAAATGATAAAAATAACCACTTGCAAAGCTCAAGTGATGACACAAGCATATACAGAGATTTTTTTTTTTTTTTTAATGAGGACAGGCTGAAGAAAGGAAGAAAAAAAAATTAGGAGACAGATTCCCTTTTTTTTTTTTTTTGAGACGGAGTCTCGCTGTCACCCAGGCCGGAGTAAGTGGCGCAATCTTGGCTCACTGCAATCTCTGCCTCCCAGGTTCAAGCGATTCTCCTGCCTCAGTCTCCCGAGCTGGGACTTCAGGCATTTGCCACCGCGCCCAGCTAATTTTTGTATTTTTAGTGGAGATGGGGTTTCTCCATGTTGGCCGGGCTGGTCTCGAACTCCTGACCTCAGGTGATTCGTCCGCCTCAGCCTCCCAAAGTGCTGGAATTACAGGCATGAGCCACCATGCCAAGCTGGTAGATTCCCTCTTCTAAAAGAAGTACATGTTGCTTTGCAATCAAACAGAAAGGCTTTTCATGTGGATTTGCTGCTAAGTTCTACCTCAGTACAGAAGATGAAACTGGGTCTACAGTGCAGAAGGTGAGAAATTAGTTTTTGATGAATGGACACAACCTGCGAACCAAAGGTATCGAGATGGAACTCAACACAGCCTCAACAGTAATCAGTTGTTTTGTGTTTCCCTGAGATGAAAACATGAAACAGGATCTGCATTTGATAGCACTATGAAATTAATAAGGTAAGTTTCATGCATGGTCCATGCAAAAAAAAAAAAAAAAGAAATTAATAAGGGAAGGATAAGCAAGTTGTCAAGGAAATACTGGATTTTCTACTGCCTTATGCTGATAGAGTCAGAGAAAATCTTATAGAGTTTTTTGTTAAAACTCAATCTGCTAATTTAGTCAGACTGACATGTTCCTCAATGCCAAGTAGGAGTCCTTTTTCCCTTTCTTCCCCTTAGTTTACGTTAGTAACAGTTAGCAAGTAACAGCTTCTAGGTTAGCATTGTCAGGATCAGAAAGAAAAAAAAAAAGGAGAAAAGCTTGATTTACTGAAATGAGAATTCTCTCAAATAAGGACCTAAATGGTTTTTCCAGAAAACCTTCCTAGACACATATTCTCTAACAGGTCCATGGGCTTAGGGGGCCTATAAACTCCCCAAGAGAACAAATAAAATTTGGCAATTATGTGCAATGTTTTGAAGAGTCTAAACTTTCATTAAACTCTCTAAGTGAGCTATTACTCCCAAGCTCCCCCAGAAATACTAAAACTGACTGTACTGGAGATAAAAAATTCTTTTGTTTAGCATCAAAGATATGCAGTGCAGTAGTTCAGAGTTCTAAAAGGAAACTTTCTTTCTGAAGATATCTCAGACCTCACTCACAGACCTGTGAGTGAAATATCAGTTCTAAGTCAATAACCAACTTTATTTATAAGTCAGAGTTCTTTAAATTACTGTATTGATCTCTGCTACCTTAAATCCTTTATGAAAAAAGGGGAGACATTTTAAAAAGTGGTTGACCTCTGTGGTTCCCTCCCTCTTGACAATGACTTTACTTCCCCCACTAACTTTACTATGCCAAATTGAGTTTTATATTCGATATGAGGGGAAAAAAGGATATAAAACTGTACCTATTACACACACTTTCATAAAACACCAAGATTGGAAAGGAACAGACCAAAATATTAATGGGGTTTATTGTTGGGCTGGGGGACTATGATTAATTTTTATAATTATTTATATTAAATTATGTTTTTTGGGGTTTTATGCATGAGTACACATTTCTTTTATAATCAGAAAATAAAATACTTTAGCAATGGCAGAGTCACTGGAGAAAATAAGCTTACAGATTTCCAAATAGGATAGAAGGCTAACAAAAAACTCAAATTCTAAAATAAAGAACAATCCAATTAAAAAAAACTATGGCACATTTTTAAAGCATTTTGAAATTTCTGTCTTTGTGTAAACAAACTTACAGTTTCAATGACGATAGTAGCTGAAAAAGTCTTCTCATTGATGGATTCTAGGGTACCTTCATTTCCTCTGTAGCCTCCATTTAAAACTAGAATTCTTTTTCCTATGATGGAAAAGAATATAAAAATTAATGTGAAGAAATATCTCCACTTTTCTTCTAACTTGTTACAGCAAAATGTACTACACTGAATAAACATAATAAAAAACAAAACCCTTTTTCTTAGAAGTTCTCAATCATTTAAGAAGTGTGTAGTATTTTAGTGCGGTGTATGGATACTTTCACTACTCGAACATTATAAGACTTCTCATTTTTCCCCCAATTATTTGTTAAAGGAATATGTATGTTTTACTTTTAGACTGCAAAGAATATAAGGTACTTGGAGAAAATGTTCAGAGTCCAGAAGTAATCAGAGACAATTTAGCTTACTTTGTCTCTTTGCAAAATTCATAAGATGGTTTGGCAGTTTTACAAAAATTTAAACTTATACCTAACATGTGACTGAGCCATTCTATGTATTTACCCAAGAAAAAAGAAACCAGATATCCACACAAAGCTTTGTACGTATATGTTCACAGCAGTTTTATTTTTAACAGCCAAAAGCTGTAAATAAGCCAAATGTCTATCAACAGATAACTGGATAAACAAACTGGTACAGTAGTCCCCCCTTATCCCAGGTTTTGGTTACTCTCAGTCAGCGTGGTCCAAAAATAGGTGTGTAAAGTACAATAAAATATTTTGAGAGAAAGAGACCACATTCACATAACTTTTATCATACTATATTATTATAATTGCTCTATTTTATTATTAGTTATTATTCTCAATCTTTTACTGTGCCTAATTCATAAGTTAAACTTTATTATAGATATGTATGTAGGAAAAAACATAGTATATATAGTGTTTGGTACTATCCATGGTTTCAGGCATTCACTGGTGGTCTTGGAAGGTATAGGTTAAGGGGGAATACTGCATATCCATACAATGACATACAGCAAGAAAAAAGAATGAACTACAGATACGTTCCACCACATAGGTGAATCCAAAATAATTACACTGAGTGAAAGTAGCCAGACCAGAAAACAGGACACATTTATATTTATAGAAACTTAATTTATATAAAATTCTAGAAAAATATGAACTGAACTATGACAGAAAGCATGTCAGCAGATGTCGAGGAAGACAGAGGATGCAGGAGCAGAAGGTAGGAGGGAGGGATTAGAGAGGGAAATGAGAGGATCTATTCATCAGCTAGATTGTAGTGATGGTTTTATGGAAGTAGGCACATGTTGAAACTTACCAAATTGTATACTTTACATATGTGTGATTTATTGTACATCAATTTTACCACAATAAAGCTAACATAAATTTTTCTAATCTGTAAAAAGAATTTTTACTTTAGGGGGAAAAAGAATAAAGAATATGATAATAAGAAGTTCCAGAGACTGATGTTATCACTACATTGGCAATGACACCCCCAGGAAGATTTTGAGTCAGAGGTAAACAACCTGGTCAAAGTAGTGTTTGTACTCAGATACGGATAAGTTTCCAAAAGGCAAAGACACCTAAGGGGAAAAAAAGCAAAATAACACAGACTTTCACTTGACTATCGCAGAGAGCTAAACAAATACATCACAGATTGAACATTCCTAATCTGAAAATTTGAAAAGCTCCAAAATGTAAAATCTTTTGAGTGCTGACATCATGCCACAAGTGGGAAATTCCACACCTGACCTCCTGTGACAGGCCACTGTCAAGATGCAATCAAAATTATTTAAAATATTGTATAAAATTACCTTCAGGCTATGTGTGTAAGGTGTATATAAAACATAAATGAGGATGAGTATGGTGGCTCAGGCCTGTAATTCCAGCCCTTTGGGAGGCTGAAGTGGGTGGATCACTTGAGGTCAAGAGTCTGAGACCAGCCTGGCCAACACAGTGAAGCCCCGTCTTTACTAAAAATACAAAAATTAGCCAGATGTGGTGATGCATGCCTGTAATCCCAGCTACTTGGGAGGCTAAGGCAGGAGAATTGCTTGACCTGGGAGATGGAGGTTGCAGTAAGTCAAGATCGTGCCGCCACACTCCAGCCTGGGTGACAGAGTGAAACTGTGTCTCAAAAATAAATAAATAAATAAAAATAAAATAAAACATAAATCAATTTTGTGTTAAGACATGGGTTCCAACCCTAAGATATCCAATTATGTATATGCAAATTCCAAAATCCAAAATTGGAAACTCTTCTGGTCCAGGCATTTCAGATGAGAGATTCTCAACCTATAACCATAAGCCTAATATAACAAATGCTATCCATATATGTCTACGTTTTGCTTCAGGAAAAAAAAAAAAAAGTATTCCAGGAAAGGAAAATCCATTGATGCCACAAAACAGCTTCATCAGAGAGCCAGTAAACTACGATGCCCTTGAATCCAAACAGAGATGAGTTACGCTGGCAGTTAATGCCGCCAAGACAGAAAAATAACAACCAACAAGTACTGTCAAAATACAGTGGTTTGAAAATGGAACCGCTCATTTTGATGGCATATGTATTAAATGGTCTGCAAACAGATTTACCTGGTGCTGGAATTACTGTCTCTAAATGAGTCTGGTCAAGTTTCAGCTTGTCTCCAGAATCAATCATCTTCACAACAGCTGTATATTTGTCAATTACTTCCTGTCATGTAAAATGAACACTTTTATAATAGAAGAAATATGTGCACACTCATTTAAAAGGTCAAAAGCAAATGAAATGAAGACAAATAAAATATCAATCAAAAGAAAGAGTAACTCCTTCTATAAATGACACTATTTTCTAGATTCCATACATGATTTCCCAGTCTATGGTTCTCAATAAAGAACTCAATTCAAAGCTTAGTAAAGGTTTTCATCTGGAAACAATAACAGATTGGTGGTCCTGGAATAAGACTTTAAGAAATCTAACAAGAGGGGTAGTTTTGCCTAGCTTAATGTACAGTGGAAGAAGGGCAATAGGCATGCACAAGGCTGGGTGCTAGAATAAAACTAAATTTAGGAAAGGCAAAAAGGGAGAAAAGGCCTAGAATATTGATACAAACTTTAAAATCTCAGAGTAGGCCGGGTGCAGTGGCTCACATCTGTAATCCCAGTACTTTGGGAGGCTGAGGCAGGTAGATCACCTGAGGTCAGGAGTTTGAGACCAGCCCAGCCAACTTGGTGAAACCCCGTTTCTACTAAAAATATAAAAGTTAGCCAGGTGCGGTGGTGGCCACCTGTAATCCCAGCTACTCGGGAGGCTGAGGCAGGACAATCACTTGAACCTGGGAGGCGATGGTTGCAATGAGCTGAGATCGCACCACTGCACTCCAGCCTGGGCAACAGAGCCAGACTCTGTCTCAGAAATAAAAATAAAAATAAATAAAATCCCAGAGTAGCCAAAAGACAGTTTCTCAAGCAAAACACAAGAAGTCCTCATGAGACCTCTGACAGTATAATTGTTAGGCTGGCATAAAAGTAATTGCAGTTTTTGCCACTACTTTTAATATATGGCCTATCATTAAAAAATAAAGTACATTTTACTGACAAGCAAGGCATGCATGCTGAGGTTTTGAAGAGGTGCTGATGGGCCTTCATACATACTATCTGTCCTAGTAAGAAAACAGATCAACGCTGAGTAGAAACTATGGATGAAAAAGAAATATTTCTCCAACAATCATGAATTCAGCTTCCATTTCATGGAATAATCAAGAATTTTAAACATAGTACTTCTGCTACTAGGACTTGATTTTCAAGAAATACCAAAATAGCTTCACTCAGTGACCCAAGCTTTTTTCACAAATTCCATTCATAATTGCACGTCCTTACCTTAACAATAGCCTTTTTCTTATGATATTTCTCTCCCAGTTTCTTGGTTATAATTTTCACAATAATTTCCTAGAAAATAATAACAAAAAAAATGAAAGGAAAGACAGAAGTTATCGTTTGTCATTTACTTCTTCCTTTTAAACTATGTTCACCCAAAACCACAGGAAAATGTAACTGCCCTGCCAAATAAGAAATGCTGGAGTTCTCTGCCTTCCCAACAATGACAAACATTTCCTTAGCAATCTTTTATTCCTTCTTCCCCTTTCTGTTCAACGTGGTTAGCAAGAGGAAAAAAATATATACATATATATAAAAAATGTCTGATTTCTACATTGCAGATTTCTGGAAATCTAGGACTGTTATCGGTAAAATTCAACTCTAGTACTTCACGTCTTTCGTAGATGGTTTCTTTCCATTGCAGGAAGTGAAAAGCGCTGAGTTGTTCACTGCTGATAAAAACTCAGATTGCAAGAGACTCACTGGAAATTGCAAGGCACTGAGCCTGCAAGCTTATGCAGGACAGTTCTCACTATGCCCCTTTCTCATTAAGTTGCTTTGAATTTTCATACAGTTGGGATTCCTCCAGATTAGATATAGCTAAAGGTATTGTTCTTCTGACCATCTAATTCTCAAATGGGAGGGAAATCTGGGCTTACTTCTTATGAATGAATTCAGAGTTTGCTTCTTTACCATTTTTTCCTGATTTGGATTAGTTGTCTAAAAGCTAATAATGAAAATTAAATTGCCTAACAATGCAATATTACTGCAGTGATTCTATATTTGCTACTTCAAGTGAATATATCAAAGAGATGGTCAAGTATTTCATAAAGCCATGCTTAAAATCGTACTAACAAAACTTTAGGAAGGACTTTGGGGAGAGGGTATTTAATAGTAGAAAGATAGGTTTACGGAAAAATGTGAACGGTCTTATTCTGAAGTCTCTCTTTTAAGACTTTCTAAATGAAGCCAATTAATGCCAAAACAACTTCTCCAATTTAGTCATACTATTTTCTGGGCTAATTTCTCAAACGCTCTCATGGGTTCACACTCTAGTAATTGGAAGATAATTCATTACATCACTGTACTTATTGGCCCTTATCCACAGTAGATCTGTTAAAAATATTTCCTTTCTGAGTTTAAAAACTAGGCACAGTGGGCCGGGCGCGGTGGCTCACGCCTGTAATCCCAGCACTTTGGGAGGCTGAGGCAGGTGGATCACCTGAGGTCTGGAGTTCGAGACCAGCCTGACCAACATGGAGAAACCCCGTCTCTACTAAAAATACAAAATTAACCGGATGTGGTGGCCCATGCCTGTAATCTCAGCTACTAGGGAGGCTGAGGCAGGAAAATCGCTTGAACTCAGGAGGCAGAGATTACGGTGAGCTGAGATCGTGCCATTGCACTCCAGCCTGGGCAATGAGAGCAAAACTCCATCTCAAAAAAAAAAAAAAAAAAAAATTCGGCACAGTGGCTCGGGCCAGTAATCCTAACACCCTGGGAAGTCGAGGCAGGAGGATCACTTGAGGCTACTATGTTGACCAGCCTGGGCAAAAGAGTAAAACCTTGTCTCTACAAAAAATACAAAAATTGGCAGGGCATTAGTGGTGCATGCTTGTAGTCCTAGCTACTCTGGAAGCTGAGGTGGGAGGATCGCTTGAGGCCAGGAGTTTCAGACCAGCCTGGTCAATAGAGCAAGACCCTGTCTCTATTTAAAAATAAAAAAAAGAATAAGACACTCTGAAAGTTTTATGAAAATGTCATGTCTCAGTAAGTCTAAAATAGAGCATCAATAAATAATCATTTTAAAATATTGTTAAATGTTTAAAAACTATTTTTAAATTATTTTAAAACAATAAGCAATAATAAATAAGCAATAAAATATAAAACTCCCTTGAGTTTGTGAAATTAAAGCCTGCTTTTCTCCACAATGTACCTATTAATAAATGGACATTCTAGTTCCAATAAGTTGTAAACTGAAAACCAACACTTGGGCATTTACAGTTCTACTTTTTGAACTCATTTCTGAAAACATAACCTCTTGTCTTATAGCAAAAATTGAAAATTCCTGGCTCAAATTTAAGATGCCCATAAACAAGTTTAGCACTAAACTTAAAGAACATTATTAGTCTATAAGCATGAAGTAACTCTCCAATAGAGGTGCAACCAATAATTAATGATCTAATAGGAAGAAAAGTCATTATAAGTTATAACTAACTCTATCTATATAGATTATACGTGTTTGAAAAGTTTAGTTACTTATACCAAATGCTAGTTAAATCATTCACTTAAACAT
This sequence comes from Homo sapiens, assembly GCF_000001405.40. Classification (NCBI taxonomy): domain Eukaryota; kingdom Metazoa; phylum Chordata; class Mammalia; order Primates; family Hominidae; genus Homo; species Homo sapiens. The sequence goes on from NC_000010.11 coordinate 7,766,016, forward strand.
ACATTTAGAACTTAAGAAACTCCAACTGAATACTTACAGGCTGTAGCCAGTAGTCTGTTCGGGCAGTTCTTTTCTTTTCCTCTTCAATCTGTAGAACACATAATGTCTTAAATTATCTCCCTAAAATCCTCATTGGATTTCAAAATACCATTCTATTTAGCAAAATAACACCATAAAACTGTGAAGTCCTCTACTTCACAGAAGACCAATGACATAATTTGCGAGCTCTGATAAATACAAATAAACATTACTTGTCATTAGTTTTTGATTTAAAAAAAACTTCAGTTTTTAAAAGTATATAATAAAGCAAGTCAACTGACCTAGGAAGCAAACAGACACAACTCCTATTCAGCTGAAAGACCAGCCAGTACCTGCCCTCACCCACTTTCTCCCATGTGACTGTCAGGAGCTGGAAAAGAGGCCACGTTTTCATGCAGTAAAATCATAACACATGGATCAATGTAGCACAGTGTGGTTAAGTATACAGCCTGGTAGCAAACAGGGGGCTCCCTGTTTGAAAATGACAGTAAAGCTCATGAATGAAAGGGAAGAAAAATACCACCAAGAGATAAATGAGAGTGACCAAAGAAAAGAGAGCTGTGGGGCTGTATGGCGAAAATATCGAATCTTTTTCTTTCTCAACTGCTTACAGTTAACCCTAAGTACCAATTTTCAATGGGATCAAACAATGTAATAATCCCTTGGTTGATTCGAAACCTAATTTTAGGCTGGGCGCGGTGGCTTATGCCTGTAATCCCAGCACTTTGGGAGGCTGAGGTGGGCGGATCACGAGGTCAGGAGTTTGAGACTAGCCTGGCGAACACAGTGAAACCGTGTCTCTACTAAAAGTACAAAAATTAGCCAGGCGTGGTGGTGCATGCCTGTAGTCCCAGCTACTTGGGAGGCTGAGACGTGAGAATTGCTTGAACCCTGTGAGGCGGAGGTTGCAGTGAGCCGAGGTCACATTGCTGCACTCCAGCCTGGGCCACAGAGTGACACTCCATCTCAAAAAAAAAAAAAAAACCTCATTTTAAATCCTTCACCTTTTCAACAAACAGTGTTCTAAAATTAGTATGCATTATATTCAAAAAAGGTCGATTTGGCTTTCCATTTTTCTTTGAATAAAATTAAATTTTAAAAATCCCTGTCACAGCATGTAAGACCTCTATGGTGTTGGCCCTCCTGGCTCTCTGACCTCATACGCCACCAGGTGCTTGCTGCACTCCAGTCCCGTGGGCCTTTCCTTCAGATGCTTGATCGTTCCTGTCTAGGTACCGTTCACAGGATCTCTCCCCAGGCGCTACCCTCATACCTCCTTGGCACTCAGCATTTTGTGATCATTCACTGATTCACTGCTGAACAGCTCTGACGTTAGAATGAAAGCTCCGTGACTAACAAGGACTGTTTTTCTTTCTACTATACAGACCCGGGGGCTTGCACAATGTGCAGCATGTAACAGTGACTCAGTTTCATAGTAAGTTTCATCTAAACATTATACTTGAAGCTTTTTAGATCATCCTGCATGGTGTGAGGACTAGGAACAGAGAAGACTAACAGCCAGCCGGGTGCGGTGGCTCACACCTTGTAATCCCAGGACTTTGGGAGGCCGAAGCGGGTGGATCACCTGAGGCCAGGAGTTCAAGATCAGCCTGGCCAGCATAGTGAAATCCCGCCTCTACTAAAAATATAAAAAATTAGCCAGGCATGGTGGCGGGTGCCTGTAATCCCAGCTACTCAGGAGGCTGAGGCAGGAGAATCACTTGAACCTGGGAGGTAGATGGTGCAGGGAGCTGGGATTGCACCACTGCACTCCAGCCTGAGTGACAGAACACAGAGCAGGACTCCGTCTCAAAAAAAAAAAAAAAAAAAGACTGGACGGCATTTTCTATCCCTTCACAATGAAGACGAAAATAAATGAGGAGACAGAGGAAATAATATTAAAGAAAAAAAAGTTAGCTTCTTGTATTCATTTACTCTTTCTCCTCTATCCTGCCTCTTCTCTCCCACCTATTTTCTTAATTCATTGATAAGGTAGGCTATGTGTTAGAATGGAGAAGGGGATATTTAGGAGTAAATTAAGAACCTCCTGCAGCATTACTCTAGAGTCTTGGGTAGATTTAGAGCCCAAGTATGGCCCTAAATATGGATAATCATGTACTTCCAATGATTTTTCACATAGACTTAGCCATCAGGCTAAATCAAATTAAAACCATGTCACACTAGGCCAGGTGCAGTGGCTCACACCTGTAATTCCAGCAATTTGGGAGGTCAAGGTAGGCAGATCATTTGAGATCAGGAGTTTGAGACCAGCCTAGCCAACATGGTGAAACCCTGTCTCTACTAAAAATACAAAAACTAGCTGGGTATGGTGGCACACATTTGCAATCCCAGCTACTCGGGGAGGCTGAGGCAGGAGAATCTCTTGAACCTGGGGAGCGGAGACTGCAGTGAGCCGAGATTGTGCCACTGCACTCTGTCTGGCCTGGGCAACAGAGAGAGACTGTCTCAACAACAAAAACAGCAACCAAAAAAAAAACATGTCACAGGTTTCTCGTGCTCGCTAGGAGGTGCTAAGCGGAAGTCAAAGTCAACAGGAGAGTAGCAGTTGAAGGAGGGAGGCCAACCATGAAGGACTCCAATTTCTAACTGAATTCTACTGACCGTAACAAGCGCAGGGAGTTTCAAAGACAGCACCTGAGGCATTAAAAGAAACCTATTTAGGTGGGGCATGGTGGCTCATGCCTGTAATCCCAGCATTTGGGAGTCCAAGGTGGGTGGATGACTTGAGGTCAGGAGTTTGAGATCAGCCTGGCAAACATGGTGAAACCCCATCTCTACTAAAAATACAAAAATTAGCCAGGTATGGTGGCAAGCGCCTGCAATCCCAGCTACTTGGGAGGCTGAGCCAGGAGAATCATTTGAACCTGGGAAGCGGAGGTTGCAGTGAGCTGAGATTGTGCCACTGCACTCCAGCCTGGGCAACAGAGTGAGACTCCATCTCAAAAAAATAAAAAACAAATAAATAAATAAACCTATTTAGGGGGGCTCCAACTCCAGTTCGGGGAACTGTATGTAGCTAGGTCACTATTCCCTAGTCCGTACATGATAATTTTCCTAATTTTCTATTAATCTAATAAATGGTGAAATGATTTAATTTTCCTTGGGTTCTAAGGTGTCCACACGCAATCCATAAACTGTACCTCCATGATTTCATCCAGTGCAGATTTCTTTTTCTTCTTTTCTTTAGACTGAGTTGAGCTCTGGGAAGATTCTTTTCGTTTCACTGATGCTGAACTTCCTATCGTCTTCAGTGCACTCGGTCCCAGAGTACTGATGAACAGGAGAACCATGCTTGTTACCAAGAACCATACACAGACGAATGCTTTACGATGTGCAAAATTCACAATATAGAATAAATGTGTGACATAGTAATTTACAGGAGATTAGTGAAAACCATGGAGTCCCTGTCCACATCTCTTACAGAACCATCAGCACTGTGTGAGCATTTAACCCGTGCTATCTTTAACTCTCTGTACCTATCAGCACTGTGTGAGCATTTAACCCATGCTGTCTTTAACTCTCTGTACCTTCTCCTCACTCCTTCGGTCACTGCTACTATACTTTGTATAGTAGAATGATGGTAGGCAGCTTAGGTTTTGGTGTTGAGCAGATCAGGGTTTGAGGCTACTTCTATTAGGACTTGGAGTAGTTCACTTTCCTAAGCCTCAAATCTTCATCTATAAACGAAGATAATAACATGACCCAACTCTTAACCCAAATGCAAGAATTAAATGACATGTTTTCAAATGACCGGTTTAAGTCTAGCACGTTACTCTCAGTTCTGGTTTTGTAAAGCAAAGTTCTCAACGTGTTACTTAAAAGTTTTTAACTGCTCCCAACTGCCCAGAGTTAACAGTGTAAATCCTTTTTTTTGAGATGGAGTCTCACTCTGTCGCCCAGGCTGGAGTGCAGTGGCGCGATCTTGGCTCATTGCAACCTCCGCCTCCCAGGTTCAAGCGATTCTCGTGCCTCAGCCTCCCAAGTAGCTGGGATTACAGGCAGCCACCACCACGCTGGGCTAATTTTTGTATTTTTAGTAGAGATGGGGTTTCGCAATGTTGGCCAGGCTGGTCTTGAACTCTTGACCTCAGGTGATCCACCTGCCTTGGCCTCCCAAAGTGCTGGGATTACAGGCGTAAGCCACCGTGCCCGGCTGACAGTGTAAATTCTAAATTCTTTACTGCCAATATACAACTGTCACCATTGGCCCCAGAATACCATCCTAGTCACCATCCCTGACTTACTATGTACACCAGTCACTAAGAACAATTTGCTATTGACTGAGCCATGCCCTATGCTTTCAGCCTCTGAAAATTTGCACATGCCTTGTTTTATACCTAAAATAATCTCTCCTTTTATCTCCATTTGTTAAAATTCTTTAAGGTCCATTCATGAGGGTTCTTGGATCTTGCAGTGTTTTGAACTGCCACAGTACCTTGTGGCATGCATCACACTGCACCTTGTATGATAATCATTTGTATGTACGACTCCTCTCTTGTAGTAGGGAGGAAGCATCTATTTTTTCCTGCAAAGTAGCAGTAACTATCTTGTAACTCACATTAAATAGATGCTCCATTAATACTGGCTGATCAAATGACTTTTACCCATCTAATTATTTAATGTGTCATATTTACAAAAGATGAAGCAAAGGATAAATATTTACACAAAGCTATCATGGAGCTAACCAAGAAAAAAATATATGATTAGTAGAGAATACAACAGATTTATTATTTTCCTTTATTTGGACTTTAAAAAGTGCATTTAAAGGTAGCCTTAGATTGATGAACTGCTGGGTTACTTTAAGCTTGAAGTCAACTAAAACCCCTACTTCTTTTCTCTATGGAGAATTGTAGGTAAGGACTCTGTCACTCTGTTTTTATGGGGGTTGTTTTTCTTTACCTAACTGTCAGGCTTTCCATTTACCTTTGTAAAATTTTACTCACTGGGTTTTGACCTGTAATTCAACCCACTGAACATATATTTAAACTCTGGTTCTATTACTGAATGCATTGCCCAGGGTGTGACAGCTATAAATAATGGACATGGGTTTTGAACAGGCCAAATCCACGTAAGATAAGCTCCTCAACTTGCTACTTAAATGTTCTTTAGATTTAGGTGTACTTTGAACTAGGGATCCAGGGATAATTCAGATCATAATCAACTACAATATGTCTACAAAATAGGCACTAATAACCCTAGCAAAAGAGGAGTTAGGATTAAGCAGTTATTTTTGGCTTGAGGGATCACCACTTCCTCGTCTCATGTTCACAAACCACCTACTTCCTATCATAATCTGTTGGAAATGCTTATTAATCTATTGTTTTCTAAAGACTTTTCTCCACTTAAAAAAATATATTTGCTTATTTTTCTGCCTTCTGACTCCTCTACCAATCTCCATGATACCTCAGAGGTTCTCAACAGTGAGTCCCCAAATATTAATACATCTATAAATTATTTCAGTATTTTGGTATTAATCTCAGCTTAGACACTTGAGTTTATTTAAGGCTATTATTTACTCTTCTTAAAACTCAACTGGGCCGGGCGCGGTGGCTCATGCCTGAAATCCCGGCACTTTGGGAGGCTGAGACAGGTGGATCATTTGAGGTCAGGAGTTTGAGACCAGCCTGACCAACATGGTGAAATCCAGTTTCTCCTAAAAATACAAAAAAATTAGCCGAGCATGGTGGTGCATGCCTGTACTCCCAGCTACTTGGGAGGCCGAGGCAGGAGAATCGCTTGAACTTGGAAGGCAGAGGTTGTGGTGAGCCGAGGTCATGCCACTGCGCTCCAGCCTGGGCAACAAGAGCGAAATTCCGTCTCAAAAAAAAAAAAAAAAGAAAGAAAGAAAAAGAAAATTTACTCAGCATCATTAAATGCTTAGAATGTGACAATAATGGGGAAAAAGATGATCAGAAGAGCCCAGCAAGATCTCAGGGTGATGTAAAGGGCATTCCAGGAAGGGGAGCAGCAGATGTAAAGGCAAGAAAGGGCGAGACCCTAGGCTCATTTAGGAAAGCACAAATCAATGAGCACAGCTGAGAGCAAACGGCAGGAGACATACAGGATCACAAAAGTCACTTAATAGTATGTAAAAAAATTCGAGGTCATCTTAGAGATGCTGAAACCAAGAGATGTTAATAAATGAGTGACACGGTAAGAGCTGAAGTTTAGAAAGGTCCTTTTGCTGGCAATATCAAGATTCTGTTAGAAGGGTGAGAGACTGAGACAGGGGTAAGGCAGAGTTAAAATAAAATCAAGGCAAGATATGAATATGAGCAGAATGAAAATGGAAAGTAAGGTTCCTTGAACAGCCCTCATTTTTGCTTTCAGTAACTAGAGTGAATTCTAGCCTTTCTCAAAGGAGATAAAGAAGCCCAAAGGAGAAATGGAGATGAAAATCAAGTAAACTGTTTCAAGCAATAAGGGGGCTCATTTTTGTGCCTCAACATAGCCTAAAATGTCCACTTTGATATCCACATCATTTAGTTTTTCTAGGTTTTAGATATATAAGAGATATAAATGCACAGGAGAATGAATCCCAAACTATATTATGTACCATAATTTCAGAGAAAAAACATTTTAGATGTCTTTCAATTGTATTACCCATGACACTACATTCTTATACAAATATTGTTCCTTATTCATGGACTCGGGTCACAACATATTAACATAGATAACTTATCAAATAAATTATCAAAATTGGTCAAATAAAACTAATATTTTTGCTAATATCAAGGTTTGGCATAGGGGTACAGCAGGCTGTATAGACCCCCAAAAATGTCAGGTCCTTATCCCTGAAACCTATCAATGTTACATTATCTAAGAAAAGAGTCTTTGCAAATGAGAGTAAGTTAAAGATCTTGAGATGAGGAGCTTGGCCTGGATTATCAAGGTGGACCCTAACTACAATCATCCCTTTTCTTGTAAGAGCAAGGTGGAGGGAGATTTGACACCTGGAGGAAAAGGTGATGTGAGGATGGGGCAAAGAGACATTTGAAGATGCTCGTCTTAAATACTGGAGAGATGCAACCATGAGCCAAGTAACGCCTGCGGCCAACAGAGCTGGAAAAGGCAAGGGACAGATTCTTCCCCGGAGCTCAGATTCTTCCCCAGAGCACAGCCAGCAGGCTCCTTGATTTCAAGCCAGTGATACTGATTCAGAATCTGGCCTCTAGAATATGACCTCAACATATTTCTGTTGTTTTAAGCCACCCAGTTTGTGGTAATCTGTTACAGCGACCATAGAAAACTAATACAAGGGAGGTCAATTGGGGAACACTGGAACCAATTTTAACATCCATCTACATCTAGGAATAACACATACTTCAAAAGAACAGACAGAAATGCATAAAGTTCTAAAAGTATAAGGCATGTGTGTTATATTTGAGCCGATCTTCCAGGTCATATCATGCCAATGTTAGACAATTCTTCTGGAATGTACCCAGATGTAGAACCCAAATAACCAACTTCTTGATGATATCTAATGTAGGTGTTAATTTTGAAACATTATTTTGATCAAAGTTAAGACATCTGGCAAATCATTTTAAAGTTGATCTATATTGCTGATTCAGCCTACCTATCTCCTTCCATACTCCTAGCCACTTATTCAATAGTGTAAATAAACAATGACCTACAAACAAACCCGAAAAACTTAGATCTTAAAAAAACAACATGTAAAGTACTAAGTAAAATAGAAAATATCATCTGGCTTAAAAGCAAATTCCAGTAGATACTGGTACTTGACTCTCTTGTCTTACTCATCTTTTTTAACCTCCATAACAAAACTGAATGTACTGCATGTCAGAAATAGTGAATAAAGATTTGGTGAAAGAATACATAAAAATTGCAAGAGAAGATAATGTAGAAAGTAGGTAGAACTACCTGACCACATGCTATGCCAGGTTTTGGCAAACGACAGCCTAAGGGCCAAATGCCAGCTGCCACCGGCTTTTGTAAATAAATGTACTGGAACCCAGCCATGCTCAGTTCCTTCCTGCACTGTCCATGGCTGCCTTCTCACTACAACAGCAGAGTTCAGTTATTGTGACAAAGACATCTGGCCGAAAAGCCTAAAATATTTACTATGTGGCTCTTTACAGAAAAAGTTTGCTGACCCCTGCCCTGTGCTAGACTACCTAGAAGGGCGGGCAATGACTACTGAGTGTTTCCTGGTGTATTTACACTGTACTGGGGACGAAGGAGAGAGGTTGATAATCTCTATTCTCAGAAAACTCACAATGCAGCAAGTAAAAGAAAAATGCAGATCCAGCTAACATTTAAACTGTGACAAGTGGGCTAAGACAGGAAAAGAAACAGTTTTATATAGCGAATAAGGAACCGTTAAATGGAGAAGGATTCATGGAGAAGCAAAAGTTTATTGATGTGAAACATATAATCAAAATGAGGCTTTCCTCAAAAAACACAATCATCTCATAACAGGCAAATAGGAAAAGAACAGTTGCTAGCTGGGCACAGTAGGGCGTGCCTGTAATCCCAGCTATTGATACCTGGGAGGCTGAGGCAGGAAGATCACCTTGAGCCCAGGAGTTCGAGGCCAGCCTGGGCAACATAGCAAGACCCCATCTCTTAAAAAAAAAAAAAGAACAATTGCTAAAAAAACAACGCAACCAATAAAAACCAAAAACAGGTGAAAACTACAACTAGAAAAAAATGATTCACAATACTTTAAAATACAGTAACCAATATTTCACAAAAATCCTAATGTTTTAAGATATCCGTGAATGATGCAGCTCACCTTGACTTGGAAGATGTTGCTCCGGATGAGCTACATGCTCCTTTACTCAAATTAAACGTGACTAGAAGAAAAAAATGTTATTCCATACATACATTTCAAGAAAATCATAATAAAACTTCTCAGATAAGATACTACAAAGTGTTCACAGAGGAACTCCAGGACATTTTCAATAAACGAGAGCTAAAATGTTCCTATACGGAGACCACACATTCCTGTAAAACGTCCCACACTGAAAGCCATAGAACAGGAGGAACTTGCACACCGTGTCACCGTGGCAGACCACACCGGCGCTTCCCTGCTCTATCCCCATTTCCCCTGGGGAACAGTACTCCAATTCTGTTTAGGTCTCCACGCCTCTTGCCTGTGGCTCAGGGGACATAACACCATTTTCATCTCTGGGGTGAATTCTGATTGTCTAATCCAATCAACATAATCCCAGTGACTGCTTTTTGAGTGGACATGTGACACAGTTCTGGCCAATGACATTTGAAAGGAAATCTATTGAAGGGAGGAGTGTCTTCTTGGAAAAGTATCCTTGCTCTTAACAAGATTCTAGAAGAGCATCCAGAGATGCTCTCTGCCATCCTCACGACAATGCAGAATCTGCATGTGACGGCTGGAGTGTTGGCAGCTACCCTGTGTCTAGATGGCATGCAGAACCACCTTACCTCTGGGATTCTTATTATGGCAAGATATTTCCTTATTGTTTAAGTTAATTGTAGTCAGTTTTGTTACTTGTGGCTTCAGCTATCCTATCCAATCAATTCATTAGTATTACCTTTTCATTAAATTAATAAGAACAATGTAACTCAGACACATTCGATGTCTTATTCTCAGATATGTTGACAAGTTGCATTTTTAACAAAGCCAATATAAAAGCATCTATGTTTAAAAAAAGAAAAAATAAAAAATAAAACTACCTTTCTCTTCATCATTTTCTCTGCTTAATTCCGTAAAAGTAGGGACCTCCTAAAAAAAAGAAAGTTTTAAGGTTTTGGTGTACATTGCACTTACTATCACCATTCAATAGGCCTAAATTATGACTTGCTACCTGTGTTCCCAGGCAGCTCTAATACGCAAGTGATTAAGATCCTAATTAAGAAATTACATGCTTTCGGCCAGGCGCGGTGGCTCACACCTGTAATCCCAGCACTTTGGGAGGCCGAGGCGGGCAGATCATGAGGTCAGTAGTTCGAGACCAGTCTGGCCAACACAGTGAAACCCTGTCTCTGCTAAAAATACACAAAAAATTAGCCGAGCATGGTGGTATGCACCTGTAATCCCAGCTACTCAGGAGGCTGAGGCAGGAGAATCACGTGAACCCGGGAGGCAGAGGTTGCAGTGAGCCAAGATCATGCCACTGCACTCCAGCCTGGGTGACAGAACGAGACTCCATCTCAAAAAAAAAAAAAAGAAATTACATATTTTGGCCCAGTATGGTGGCTCATGCCTGTAATCCTAGCACTTTGCGAGGCCAAGGCAGGTGGATCACCTGAGGTCAGGCATTCGAGATGAGCCTGGCCAACGTGGTGAAACCCTGTCTCTACTAAAAATACAAAAATTTAGCCGGGTGTGATGGCGGGCGCCTGTAATGCCAGCTACTCAGGAGGCTGAGCCAGGAGAATCGTCTGAATCCAGGGGGTGAGTGCTGCAGTGAGCGGAGATCGTGCCACTTCACTCCAGGCTGGGTGAAAGAGCGAGACGAGCCTGGCCAACTTGGTGAAACCCCGTCTCTACTAAAAATACAAAAATTAGCCCGGCATGGTGGCGGGCGCCTGTAATCCCAGCTACTTGGGAGGCTGAGACAGGAGAATTGCTTGAACCTGGGAGGCGGAGGTTGCAGTGAGCCGAGATCATGCCACTGCCCTCCCCAGCCTGGGTGACAGAGCAAGACTCTGTCTCAAAAAAAAAAAAAAAGAAAAGAAATTACATGCTTTGGCTGGGCATGGTGGCTCATGCCTATAATCCCAGCACTTTGGGAGGTCGAGCTCAGGCAGGAGGAATGCTTGAGGCCAGGAGTTCGAGACCAGCTTGGACAACATTGCAAGAGCCCCCCATCTCTATTAAAAAAAAAAAAAATTAGCCAGGCATTGTGGTGCACACCTATAGTCCCAGCTACTCATATGAGGCAAGAGGTTCACTTGAGCACCAGAGGTCAAGGGTGCAGTGAGCTGTAATCATGCCACTGCATTCTAGCCTGGTGACAGAGAGAGACAGTCTCTCAAAAAAAAAAAAAAAAAAAAAAAATAGAACTTACATGCTTTGCAAATATTATCCAATTGAGAATTATTCTAAATACCAAAAAGCAGCTTTTCTATGCCAAACTGCAGAAGTTTACCTATATTTTTATTTCTATTACAACTTAAACAGGAAGTAACAAAAATATAAGGCAATAAACTTTAGGAAAAGCAAAAGCTTTTTTTTTTTTTAAGTCTGTTCAAGAACAGACTAAACTAATGAATAATCAATCGTGGTATACTGGAACAATGGTTATGTCTGGGAGATGGGGTATTAATTGGCAACGAGCATGAGGAAACCCTCTGGGATACTAGAAAAGTTCTATATCTTTATCTGGGTGGTGGTTCCACAGGTTTTCTGTCACTCTTTCTACACACGTATATTTGTAAAAGTTCAGTGAACTGTACACCTAAGATTAATGCACCTCATACACTTTAATCAATGTATGTTAAAGCTCAATAACCAGTTCAAAAAACACTCAGTTTCACATACACACCAGGCTATATTTGCCTGCTCACACACAAGTGTTAGAATGTAAGCCACAGGAGGCAGGGCGTGGTGGCTCACGCCTGTAATCTCAGCATTTTGGGAGGCCCAGAAGGGCGGATCACCTGAGGTCAGGAGTTTGAGATCAACCTGGCCAACATGGTGAAACCCCGTCTCTACTAAAAATGCAAAAAATTAGCTGGGCATGGTGGCTTGTGCCTGTAGTCCCAGCTACTTGGGAGGCTGAGACACGAGAATCGCTTGAACCCAGGAGGCGGGGGTTGCAGTCAGCTGAAATCGCGCCACTGCACTCCAGCCTGGGCGACAGAGTGAGACTCCGTCCCCCCCCCAAAAAAAAAAAAAATGTAAGCCACAGGAGACAGTTTTCTGTATCTTTTGTTCACTGAGTATTCCCTGTGCCTACAAGAATCCTGGCACAGCGGAGGCGCTTATAAATATATGTTGAAATAAATGCCCCAACCTAGTTATTCTAACACCTCAGCTCCTTCCCTCCCCATTCATCTGGCTTGCACCCACTGATTCTTCAAGACTCCTGGGCACTGGGGTTGTATCCACCCTCAAATACTCTGTCCTCCCCAGGCCAGAGTAAACATTGCTTCTCTATGTTTCCACATGCTGCATTTACCTCCAGTACTGAATTAATTATAATCAGTTGAAATTATCTGTGTATATGTCTTCCCATTAGGTAGCGTCTCTATTTAGATATAAGGAAATTGAGGTTTGGAAATATTATGCAATTATACAAGATTATGAAGTTAGTATGTCAGGAATCAAACCAAGGTTTGTCAATGCCAAAAATGTGCTTTTGACACCAGGCTGGTTCTCCTCTTAGTTCAGGAACAGTGCCCACAGAACTTGATTCAACGCTGAAAAGACACAAGCTGGCTGGGCACGGTGGCTCACGCCTGTAATCCTGTAACTTTGGGAGGCCGAGGCGGCCGGATCACGAGGTCAGGAGTTGGAGACCGGCCTGACCAACATGGTGAAACCCTGTCTCTACTAACAATACAAAAATTATCTGGGCGTGGTGGCGGGCGCCTGTAGTTCCAGGTACTCAGGAGGCTGAGGCAGGAGAACTGCTTGAACCTGGGTGGCAGAGGTTGCAGTGAGCTGAGATTGCGCTACTGCACTCCAGCCTGGGCGGCAGAGCAAGACTCCATCTCCAAAACAACAACAACAACAAAAACAAAAAAGAAAAACCAAGCCATTGTGCTTCTTTAGACCTCTGGACGTTGCTTCTCAGGATGATGTTGCTTACCCACCTGTTCCTTCCCTTCCAGGCCTCTTCTCACTTGCTCTTCAATAAATTTGGCAGTTTTTTCTTCATCATCAAGGTCCTGCTTTTTCTTTTTCTCCAGTTCCAGTTGCCGGCGGATAGTTTCTGGGTCCCTGTCTATGTACTGAATATACCAGCCTTTTGGTGTCTCGTCCACTTTGCACAAGCCTTAAAAAAACAGCCACTGCCATAAATTAGCATACAATCAAAGCAAAACATAAATATGAATGTGTTTCACCTCTGCATATTTATTCATTCAAACACACACAAATCAGGCCGAGCGCAGTGGCTTACACCTGTAATCTCAGCACTTTAGGAGGCCAACACAGGTGGATCACTTGAGGTCAGGAGCTCAAGACCAGCCTGGCCAACATGGTGAATCCCATCTCTACTAAAAATACAAAAATTAGCTGGGCGTGGTGGTGCACACCTGTAATCCCAGCTACTCAGGAGGCTGAGGCAGGAGAATCACTTGAACCCAGGAGGCAGAGGTTGCAGTGAGCCAAGATCCTACCACTGCACTTCAGCCTGGCAACAGAGCGAGACTCAGTCTCAAAAACAAAACAAAACAAAACACCAAATACACTAAAACACATTCAAATACACAAATTCATGCAGCAAATGGGATTTTCCATATTTATATTTAATGAAATTTAGATACTGTATGTGAATTCAACCAACCGTGGGTGAGAAATATTCAAAAAAAGAAAAACGGATGGTTGCATCTGTACTGAACATGCACAGACATTTTTTCCTTCCCATTTTTCCCTAACAATAGAGTATAAAAACTATTTACATTGTATTAAATATTATAAGAAATCTCGAGATGATTTAAAGTATGTGGGAGGATGTATATAGGTTACATGCAAGTGCTACATCATTTTATTTTATATAAGGGACTTGAGTATCTGTGAATTTTGGTTATCAGCAAGGGGTCCTGGACCCAATCCCCCACGGATACTGAGAGACAACTGTATTACCTTGCATAGTATTTATTCAGTTCTATCTAAGTATTTAATGTCCAACAGTTATATGATGTTCTATTAACTTAAGGCAGAAATTATGCTCCCAAAATGGAATCAACTAACACGATGAAAAAGCAAAACACTGACCCAATTTTTTTTCTCTTTTCTTATCCCAAACATCTCATCCTATGAAGATTAGAAGTGGGAAAGAAAAAGCAACTTTAAAATCTCATTCTTACCTTCTCTGCCCAGCCACTTAGTAAAATCAGTCAGAGTTTCCCACTGAGTGGCATTCATGTGGATGTGCTCTCGGTGGCTGATGTATTCGTTGTAGACAATGTTGTTGTGGACCCTTTTAGTGCCTGAGAACAAAATATGACACTGATGATCATCAGAAGATTATGCCATTTATAAAGCTGTTATTTGCACAATATTTAAAATGTTTACCAAAGCGTCTCCTGAGAAGTTCTAGAAAGTCATTTCGGAATTCCCTAATAAAGAAAGAAAGGAAAGCATTAAGGTAATTTCTACAAACATATAGCATCATCTTTTTGAAATTTAAGCAGTAGTACAGTTTTTTGTTTTTGTTTTTTTTGAGACAGAGTCTCGTTCTCGTCACCCAAGCTGGAGTGCAATAGTGTGATCTCAGCTCATTGCAACCTCCACTTCCCAGGTTCAAGTGATTCTCTTGCCTCAGCCTCCCAAGTAGCCAGGATTACAGGGGTCCACCACCACGCCTGGCTAATTTTGTTTCGTATTTTTCGTAGGGATGGGGTTTCACCATGTTGGGCAGGCTGGTCTCAAACTCGTGACCTCAGGTGATCTCCACCTGCCTCAGCCTCCCAAGGTGCTGGGACTACAGGCGTGAGCCACTGCATCTAGCCAGTAGTATAGTTTTAATGTCCAAATGATATGTGAAACATCTACATGAATATGGCTATGAACCTTTAAAAACTGATCAAGGAAAGAACTCCAAAATATTATAGCTTTTAAGGATTAAGTTAAAAGTCAGTTGGGAGTTGAAATTTTTTGTCTTGGTAAAGCAGTCATAGAAACAGTTACCACATACCTTTGGAATGGGTCCTTCATGAAGTCTGTTAGTGCCACTGATGGTGGCATAATGACCCCAGTCTATCTATGACAACAAAACTGCCCTGATTCCACATGAAATTGGCACTTAATATGTCCCTCTGAGCTGGGTACACCGTATTAAGTGCTAGATAAACGTGGGTGAATAAGACATAAATCTTAACCTTCAAGGAGGTTACAATCTAGCATAACCAATCATAACAAAAGTTAAACTGAAGAAGAAGTGTAACAAAATACCATTGAAAGAGTCACAGGAGATGCCCAGAGGTGATTTCATTGTGGTCAGTGAAGGATAAGTAGAACCCTAGAGGTGAACTGCAAGAGAAAGCTATTTCCAGCTGGCACAGAAACATGAAAGCCTCACAGATCTGAGAAATGGCCTAATTTGACTAAAATTTATGGCTGATAAAAATGAGAGTGAGAGTGAGGGTAGAGTAGAATAAGGGAGACGAGGTGGCTGGGAAACCAAAATAAGGTTTGGCTAATTTTTGAAGTACCCCGAATGTCATGCGAAAGAGGCTGAGTTTTGTGCAGTCAATAGAAAAGCATTAAATAATTTTGTTTGGCCTGGGTATGATGGCTCATACCTGTAATCCCAGGACTTTGGGAGATCGAGAGAGGAGGATCACTTGAGCCCAGGAGTTCAAGACCAGCCTGGGCAACAAAGTGAGACCCTGTCTCTACACACACACACACACACACACACAGAATCAAAAAATTAGCCAGGTGTGGTGGTGTGCATCTATGTTCCCAGCTACATGGGAGGCTGAAGCAGGAGGATCGCCTGAGCCCAGGAGGTCAAGGTTGTAGTAAGCCATGACTATGCCACAAAACAAGACCCTGTCAAAAAAAAAAAAAAAAAAAAAAAATGCCTGGCATGTTGGCTCACACCTGTAATCCCAGCACTTTGGGAGGGTGAGGTGGGTGGATCACCTGAGGTCAGGAGTTCAACACCAGCATGGCCAACATGCCTAAACCCTTTCTCTATTAAAAATATAAAAAATTAGCGGAGCGTGGTGGCGCATGCCTGTAATCCCAGCTACTTGGGAGGCCAAGGCAGGAGAATTGCTTGAACCCAGGAGGCAGAGGTTGCAGCGAGCCAAGATGGTGCCACTGCACTCCAGCCTGGGCAACAAGAGCGAAACTCCCGTCTCAATAATAATAACAATAATAAAAATTTATAAACCAATTTTTTTAAAAAACTTGTTTTTATTTCCATGTGTTGATACATCTAACCCACATAAACAGAAGTTCTTGGGGTCTTCAATATTTTTTAAAAGTATAAAGGGGTCCTAGGACCAAAATGTCTAGAAGTTTGGAAAGAAAGAGATGGTAAGAAGCAAAGAAATGTTTATTAATGGTAATGATAAGAACAGCTAATCTGAATTGAATATAGGCACTCTTCTAAGCACTCATAAAGTGTTAATTCATTGACCTTCATATAAACTCTATGAAGGATCAGCAATACTTAGAAGAGGTTGCTATTTTTAGTGCCATTTTTTTTTTTTTTTTAGACAGAGTCTTGCTCTGTCGCCCAGGCTAGAGTGCAATGGTGCAATCTCGGCTCACTGCAACCTCTGCCTCCCCGGTTCAAGCAATTCTCCTGCCTCAGCCTCCTGAGTCGCTGGGATTACAGGTGCCCACCACCATGTCCGGCTAATTTTTGTATTTTTAGTAGAGACGGGGTTTTGTCATCTTGGCCACGCTGGTCTTGAACTCCTGACCTTGTGATCCACCCGCCTCAGCCTCCCAAAGTGCTGGGATTACAGGTGTGAGCCACCTCGCCTGGCTTCTTAGTGCCATTTTAGAGATGAGGAGAATAAACCACAGAAAAACTTAAGTAGGTCATCCAAAGGCATACAGTTTTTAAATGGAGAAGGATTTGAATTTGGGAAGTCTGAATGCAGAACCTATGTTCTTTGTCACAATTGTATTAGAATGAAAGACAGTTTTGTATATCTGAAGTGGAAGAAAGGAAAAACTAAGTTGTGAGAAATAATTTTGTAACAGTTTTATACTATGATTAATTTTCAAAAGAAGATAAAAACTGAGCATAGAGAGAATACAGTTAACATATAAGAAATAATAGAACTTCCAATATTTAAAATATTAACCATCTATTAAATGTTCAACTGAATAAAGCCTATAAGATAAAGAGTTCTTTGAGTTACTTACTCTGAAAAATAATCCATAAACTGCTGAGGATTTTCTGAAGCCAGCAATAGTTGTCTCTGATGAGATTCGGACATACAATGACACTTAAAGCCATTCTACAAAAAATGTAAAAGCAATAAATTCTGATTTAGGTCATCAAAATGGGCTCTAAATAGAAGTATTTAGTTAAAACCCAAAAAATCTGCTCTTTGATGATAAATTAAAATATAATCAAATCATTAGCTGTAACTACTCTATCAGGTTTTCAAAAAAAATTTTTATAGAGTTGAGCTTTCAACTCTGCTAATCAAAGAATAATCCTTGAGATCAAAGAGACAGCAAAAGAGTGTTGTAGAAAACAGACATTAATAAGAAACATACCAGGCACAGAAACAGAAGAGAGATTCCATTTTTTAGACTTAAGTTAATCAATTCTCATTGAGCACATACTTTATACAAAGTGTCAGACAAGTGCTCAAAGGAGTAAAATGGGTCATTAGTGAATTTTCACCACAGAAACTACTTTCGCTCACTTTCCTCTACTTCAGCTCATTATCCAAAATACATTGCTGCATATTATATTAACCTTGTTAAACATATTAAATCTGTACCTTCTTAAAATGACAGGAAAAAAACATACAAGTTTTGACTTAGTATACCTCTCCTTAATATTTGACCCTCATTCTTCACTAGTAATAGAAACAAAAAATGTGCCTTTCTTGTATTCCCTATCTCTATCTGAAGCACAAGCACCCAAGCCATGAAACCAGACAACATCCTAGATTCCTTCTTCTCTTTCTACCTCCAATTTAATAGGAAGTCTATTCAGCTTCTTAATAACCCATATTCAGTCCCTCTGATCAATCTCACTGACACCGTCCAGATTTCCACACTCGATTTTGCTTCAAATAGTTTCCTAATCTTTAGATCATGGACCTCTTACACAATTTTTGCCTCATCTGTGCCCTATAAGAATCATAGTTATTATTTAAATTTATTTTTAAAAGAAACTTGGTATCAGCCTCATAAATAAACAGTATCACTTTCCATATATTAAAAAATAAAATAAAATGAACAAACAATACAGTTACTAAATCCTAGAAACCCAGGAGTAGATTGGGGGGATACCCTGGCTCTGACCTTCATTCTCTTCAGCCTTCCAGTATCAGGAGATTACAGAAAAGAATTAATCCTTTACTCCTTTCCCAAAAAAATTGCATCTCAGTTTAACATTTAAGGATGGCCAGACACAGTGGCTCATGCCTGTAATCCCAGCACTTTGGGAGGCCAAGGCAGGAGGATTGTGTGAGCCTCCGAGTTCAAGACCAACCTGAGCAACACAATGAGACCTCCATCTCCACAAGATATTTTTTGAAAATTAGCCAGGCATGGGTGGTATGTGCCTATAGTCCCAGCTACTTGAGAGGCTGAGGCGGGAGGATTGCTTAAGCCCAGGAGTTGGAGGATGCTGTGAGCTATGATCGAGCCACTGTACTCCAGTCTGGGCAAGAGTAAGACCCTGTCTCAAAAACAAAAAAAAATAAGTTTAAGGATAACCAAATAGCCCTAGTTGATGAGCAAAAGCTCATTTGTACAAAAGCATGGCAGCCAATCATAAATGTTAAAAAAAAATTAGAAAAATAACCTCTTTGCAACTCCTAATAAAATAACTGACTCAGGCAAGGATGCTAAAACACACAGGTAAAAGGTTAATGGGAAACTAGATATATAGGTATGATTTCTAAGTATTACCCCAATACTCACTTGCTCTTACAAGGGGGAAAATAATACTTTCTAATATTATTTACAAGCTGTCACCTTTACTCAATTTAAGTACTACCAAACATTATTGGCTTCCTTATATGATGCTATATGAGATATACAAGATCACCTATAAAGAATACTATAGGCTGGGCATGGTGGCTTGAGCCTGTAATCCTAGCACTTTGGGAGGCCGAGGCAGGAGGAGTGCTTGAGTTCAGGAGTTTGAGACCAGCCTGGGCAACATGGGGAGACCCTATCTCTATACAAATAAAAAAGTTAATTAGGCATGGTGGCAATCACCTGTGGTCCCAGCTACTTGGGAGGCTGAGGCAGGAGGAGGATTGCTTGAGCTGGGAAGGTCAAGGTTGCAGTGAGCCATGATCGCGCCACTGTACACGAGCCTGGGCTACCAATTGAGACCTTGTCTCAAAAAAAAAAAAAAAAATCATATTCCTCCCTGCAAATGTTTAACCTGAAATTAATCTATCAAGATCACCTACAAAGTATTCTTTCTCCCCAAAATGTTTAATCTAACCCAATCAAAGCTTTTAGATATAATTTCCAGTTGACAGAAACTACGAGTTAGAAGGCAAAAGACAACCAGAGGAAACAAGTCAACATATATGGGATGCTACAGGACAACAGCCTGGCCTCCTCTCTTCAACAAGTCAATGTCAAGAAAAAGACGGCTGGGCGCAGTGGTTCACACCTGTAATCCCAGCACCTTGGGAGGCCGAGGCAGGTGAATTACCTGAGGTCGGGAGTTTGAGACCAGCCTGGCCAACGTGGCAAAACTTCGCCTCTACCAAAAATACAAACATTAGCCAGGTGTGGTGCCAGGCACCTGTAATCCCAGCCTGTAAAGTAGCTGGGACAGCTACTTGGGAGGCTGAGGCATGAGAATCACTTGAACCCGGGAGGCAAAGGTTGCAGTGAGCTGAGATCGCATCACTGCACTCCAGCCTGTGAGACAGGTGAGACTCTGTCTAGAAAAAAAAAAAAAAGAAAAAGGGGTGGAGGGAAAATGGGTTATATTCTAAATTCAGAATATAGAGAAAATTAAATTTGGAGAAAACTAAAAGTCCTAATAACTCAGAGCACAGAGGACTTTTTGGGCAGTTAAACTATTTTGTGAGATTTTATAATGGTGAATACGTATCATTATGCATTTGTCAAAACCCATAGGATGTACAACACCAAGAGTGAACCCTAATGTAAACTATGGATTCTGGATGATACTGATGTGTCAATGTAGTTTCATCCATGGTAACAAATATAACACCTCGTTGCAGGATGTTGATGATGAGGGAGACTGGAGAGGGGAGCGGAGGTCCTAATAACCAAACCTATAACAGTCTATTGCTTTTGATCGAATCTTGATTTCAAGGAGCAGTTGGAGGACAACTGAGGAAGTGTGAATGTGTATTAGATGATAAAGAGGAACTTCTATTAATTGTGTTATGTTGATGACATATACTATGGTTATATAGAAAAGTATCCTGAAATTTTAGAGATGCCTATTTAAGTATTTAAAGGTGAAATATCCTGATATTGGTATTTACCTTAAAATATTTTTTAAAAAGTAAATACGGCAAAATTACTTAAAGTGTTAAGTCTGGGTGTTACAGACTGCATGTCTGCGTCCCCTCAAAGTTCATATATTGAACCCTAACCCCCAAGGGAATGGAATTAAAAGGTGGGCCTTTGGAGATGACTGGATTTAGATGAGGTCACAAGGGTAGAGCCTGCATGATGAACAGGGTGGGACCGTATCTCAAAAAAAAAAAGAGGAAGAGAAGTTTCTATTAGAGCTTGCTCTATCTGCTTTGTGAGGATAGAGGCAGTTTCGCAAACCAAGAAGAGGACCCTCACTAGAATCTGACCATGCCAGCACCTTGATCTTGAACTTCCCAGCCTCCAGAACTGTGAGAAATAAATTTCTGTCATTTAAACCACCCAGTCTACTGCACTTTATATGGCAGTCCAAGCAGACTAAGACATTAGATAATGCATATACAGGTATTCCTTAATAGAACTAAAGAGAGTAACTGTATCAATATTAGTATGAGTCCTACCTAAAATACCTCTTCCTTCACTTGCAGAAACACTGGATTAGATTATTCCAATTGCCTCAGTGTTCTTCCACCCTTACCCAATCCAGTCCAATCTCCGGAGAAAAATATGATCACATCACTAGCCTGCACAGCATTCAATCAACCACCTCTTTAATGGGGAAAAGTGTAAATTCCATAGTGTAGCCATATAAGGCTTTTCGAGATCTGCCCAGACTCCTTGAGCCACTCTATATATACTTCACTCATTTAAAACTCAGCGACAATCCTACAAGTAGGTGAAATTATTATTCCCTCTTTACAGATAAGTAAAGGGGAATATAAGTAAATAACTTGCCCAAGACCACACGGTTGGTAAGTGGCCCTGCTTGACTTTAAATTTTGACAGTCTGATATATCCATAAACCAGATAAATCCATAATTTTAACCACAATATTATTCTGTGCCCGGTACAGTGTAGGTGCTCAATAAATGCTTGCTAGATGAGTAGTGTGGAAGAGCTTAGCTCTCCTTTTTCACCTGATCCCAAAAGAGGAGTGAATCCTAACCACCCTGTTTCTCTTAAGAGTCAAGTCAAGTAAGAGCTGATGACTGTTACTGGCATTGCCCGGGCGTCTAGTATTGCAGTATCCCCGCCCCTGTGAGGGGTGCAAAACCTTTTCTGATTTCATTTCTTTGGTGGTGGGGATCGGACTGGGGAGGAATGAGGGGTCGCAGAACACAGGCTGCCCGCTGGGCCCGGGGGCTGCGGGGAGGGACGGCTCTCGTGCGCTGAGTAGTTGACTCGCCCACTGCAGACCTCAGAAGCCTCACGACCCGGACCCCGGGAGCCCCAGCCCCGCGCCCTCAGCCCCGCGTCCAGGACCTGATCCTGGATTGCCAGGGGCCCTCCTGGGAAGACGGGGCCACTCCGGGCCCACTCACCTCGTCCCGGCACTGCTTCTGGCACATCTGGCAATACCAGCGTAGCTTCTGCAGCCCCTTGGACTTGATCCTGTTGGCGATAGCCTTGGGAGTAAGAAAATCCGACTTCCCCATGGCGACCACGGCAGCGATCACTTTCTGGACCCCAGTACTCAGCCAGCCGGAAACGGAACCGGGCTGGCGGCGGTGGGCGGGACAAATCCCAGCTGAGAGGCGGAAGGAGGTGGGGCCTGGGAAGACTGGGTTGCAACGGTCGCGAGACTCCCCTCGCCGTAGCGCGAAGAAACGAGACTGAAGAAGAGAGCAAGGTGGGAGGGGCGCGCTGGGGAGCTTCGGCGCATGCGCGCTGAGGCCTGCCTGACCGACCTTCAGCAGGGCTGTGGCTACCATGTTCTCTCGCGCGGGTGTCGCTGGGCTGTCGGCCTGGACCTTGCAGCCGCAATGGTATGGCAGCTTGCGGGAAGATCGGCAGGACCGCAAGGGATGGAAGAGCTTGGGCACGGGGCAGGGAGGAGGAGATGGGCGCGGGGGCAGATGTGGGGTCGCAGGGCCTAGCTGGGCCCCTGGCCCGTCGGAGGCGCCGGGTAGCGGGGGCTGCAGGAAGCGGCTCTGAGGTCGGGCAAGGTGTGCGCAGGGCCGGGCTCCGGCGGAGCAAGGTCCCGCCCGGTTCCCTGAGGTCGGAGGGCCACCTGGGACCTCGGGACTGCGGCCTGAGTCCAAATTGACGTCTGGGCGGTCTTGAGTTCCCTCAGCTAATCAGCACTTCCTGAGCTTCCACTTCCACTGCAAGCCAGGCCCCCAGTCTCAGGGCCTGCAAGGTGACGGGAGCCTGAGCAATAGCCCAGGGGAAGGTTAAGTCGTGCTTTTTGTCCTTGACGCCCTTTGAAACCCTGTAGTGCTGGACAGAGTGACCCTTTAAGATTCGATCGAGTCAGAGAGCGCGGCCGTCGAGCACCTCCCGTGTTGCAGACGCTTTGCTGGGTGCTGCAACAGCAAAGGCGAACATCCTAGATGCCTCTGAGGGTGGTTTTGGTGCAGAAGGGACCGTACAGATCTGTCTGAGGGCGGGGAAGGGAAGGACACCTAGCACTACCTTGAAACCACTTGCTGAAACCGTAACCCTGCAAGGTCATGAAATTGCCCCCAGGTCCTGGGGGAGGAGTTCGGTGGGCTTTTAAGTGGCATTTGTTAACTGACATGCAACTAAAGGGTGCCACGAGCCTCGAGAATTTTAAACATTAGTTCCGGGTAGGGGGACCTGGGCTGGGGGAAGTGCATATTAGAAGGCCCGGGAATGGGCAGGTAAAAGTTGGTTTGTGGGTGGTGCTGTTCAGTTTTGAAGCTTGACGGAATCTGGAAGAATTCCAGACACGCTGCTAAGGGGATTCTAGGCTGTGTCGTAGCAATTCCCTGCTCTTAACAGTGTGGAGGATTTCTAAGGCGCTACAGTGCTAAACTAGATTTTCGTATCCTAATTTATATGAAGGGACCATAAAGCATTAGTTGAAATAAATAGGTTTTTCATTAAGCAAATAACTGATAGTAATATACGAGATTTTCAGAATGATATCTGATGTGAATTAGCCACATAAAATTTTTGGTGGCTTGGCCTTGGAAGTCAGATTTTTTTTTCTCTAATATGGAAAAAGAACATTCATGGGAATTAAAAGGTCACTGTAGTTGAATTCTCAGTTGTATAGATTGTCCCACTTGTTAACCACTCAGCAGACATTAGCTGAGTGCTTCCACTCCACCCGGTGGTACTTGGAAAGTGCCCAAATGTGATGGTGAGCAAATAGATAAGGTCTCAGTCAGTTTCCTGGGACAGTGCCTGGCATGCAGTGGTGCTCTGCGAACATCAGCTCTCCTGGCCTTACCTTCTTGCCACGCATTAATGTTATCTGTCAGTATTTTTACAACCTTAGTTTCTAAGTTGATCTTTAAAAAAGTGGAAATAGTTTCTGAAACAAAGACAATATTTTACAAAAAATTTTAGAAATATCTTTTTTTAAAGCACCTGTAAGATAATTTGAAGCTCTTTTAGTGAAGGATTGTTTTAAATAAGAGCTCTCAGTTCAAGACAACTACTGTTAGGAGCTTAAATCGGAACCACAATCAGCATATAAAGGTCCTAATCCTGACCTTAATCCCTTTGGAATATTGGTTTTATAAATCATCAATCAACAGTGTTCCACTATGAAAGCATATTCTGTCTTCTTCTTTTCATGTATTCCTTCACTGCTGGTGCTTAATGTCTTTCCTTCCTCTTCTGCCATTTCTCTTTCCATGAATTATAATTGCCTTTTGAATTCAGAAATTAAAACCACTCCACAGAATTAATTTGGAAGGGGAAGAAAAGACCTTTGTCTTAACGAACCATGAAGAGGCATATTTCCATGCTTCTGTCTTGATTACTGGAAGTTTTTTAAAGTACAATTTGTTATTTTAGTTTTTGTTTTCAGAGAGGCTACCATGCTAACATAAAAACATTAGGCTTACTTAAATTCACAGTGGTTATTTTAATAGTTGTTAGGGTATCGGCAAAATACTCTAACGTTTTGAAAATTAAACCTTTTTTTTAAAGCAGCATATAAGAAAATGGAAATTAAAAATTTGAGAGAAAGAATCCCGGATTTTACTGTCTTCAAATTTGGGAAAAACATTTCTATTTCTTAGAGTTCAGTAGTCTCTAAAATGGAACTGTTTTTTAATAACGTGTCAGTAGTCATAAACTACAGATACCGATAAGGAGATGGCATTTCAGGAGAGAAAAGACAAATTGTCATCTGAGACCATGAGGGCAGATATTTACTAATAAATGTAAAAAATGTGAGGCAGCAGAGTGTAGTACTGTATGAAGAGAGAGACTCTGTAGCCAGCCCTGAAGGGCTGCATTCAGACGGCAGGGATTGAATTCTGATTGCCACTTAGCAGCTCTGTGACCTTGGGCAGGTTACTCAGTGTCTGTCCCACCAGTTCCTCATCTGTCAAATATATGCAATAAAAGTGCACAATTCAGTGGGTTAGTGTGAGGATTAGAGTATTTGCAAAGCATGTAGGACAATGGGGGAAATGCTGATAGGGATCCAAATGCTGTATATCAGTAGAGAAATGAAGAGTTTTTAAGTACAGTTTCTACATCAAATGTAATGTAAGAAGATTGCTTGGACTTGCGAAAAGAGGAAAAGAAGATGCAGTCGGGCTAGGCGCAGTGGCTCACGTCTGTAATCCCAGCATTTTGAGAGGCCGAGGCGGGCGGATCACAAGGTCAGGAGATCAAGACCATACTGGCCAACATGGTGAAACCCTGTCTGTACTAAAAATACAAAAATTACCCAGACGTGGTGGTACGCACCTGTAGTCCCAGCTACTCGGGAGGCTGAGGCAGGAGAATTGCTTGAACCCGGGAGGCGGAGGTTGCAGTGAGCTGAGATCGTGCCACTGCATTTCAGCCTGGCGACACAGTGAGACTCCATCTCAAAAACAAAAAAAAAAAGATGATGCAGTCATGGGTGTGGGTTAGGTAAGTGTGAAGGAGTCAGTTTTTGCTGGTGGCAGGTAATGGACTTTTACACGCTTAATATCAGAATTAGAGTCACTTCATAATTTTCGTTGAGAATTAGCCAATATTGCTTGCTTTTTAAGTTTTTATGTATCTTAATATACTCCTTAAAAATCTCTCAAACAATAGTTTCTTGGAAGGGTGTCATTCCTGACTCCCTCCTCCACTGCCTTCGTCAGCTGTTATAACAGCGCTGTGGAATCATGGTAGATAGTGGTAATCCACGGTCCATTTGATTCTCCCTCCACTGTGTTTCTTAGTCTCCCGAGGATCTCAGGACGTGCAATGATTCAGAGCTTTATCTCCTCATTTGCAAAACTTTTATATTTAATAAAGGAAGCTATCCCTAAAGAGAGTTCAATTAGCTCATCACTGTTCTTACTCAAATTGTACCTAACAATTAAAGTAGTAACATAGACGTCTTCAGAATTAAATGAAAGCTAAACATGAGAGTGCTTTAAAACACATGAAATTAGGGCAAATGCGTAGCATTATCACAAAAGATGCTACCTCTTCATACCTCTGACTTGGAGTACTTAAGGAAACCAAAACATTCTGTGTTTGTCCAAATATGGTATTCAATTCAAATTTATACCATATGGTATTCTCTGACTAGAAACTTGTGTCAGTTGAAGTGTCTGCCTAAAACAATAATATCCAAGAGTGACTTGTTATAACCAATAAATTTTGTGTTCAGGGAGAAAAGTCATTACTACACCAAAAAAGGAAGGTTGACCAAAAACTGGTATTACTTTTCAAGTGTGATTATGAAAAGCTGTTGTAGTAGAACAGTCATGGCAGGTAGTTTGTGCTCTGAAATAACAGAGCTTGTCAGGATTTGCCAGCTTTTATCTTTTCCTTTAGTAGATTCATTCTTAAAACCAAACCTAATATTTTTCGTGCTGTAGTGGGAGAATCACCTGAGCCCAGGAAGTTGAGACTGCAGGAAGCCATGATCACACCACTGCACTATAGCCTGGGTGAGGGGAGTGAGACCCTGTCTTCAAACCGCAAAAAACAAAGATCCACTCTTTTTGTTATACAGTTCCACGGATTTGGACAAATGCATAATGACATGTATCCACCATTACAATATCATGCCAAAGAGCTTCACTGCCCTAAAAATCCCTCCTCTACTCTCCCCAAAACCCTGACAACCACTTCTCTCAACTATTGCTAGATCCTCGGCTTTTCTGGCATGTCACATAGCCAGAATCATACAGTATTTGCTTTTTTTCAGATGGCCTTCTCTCCCTTAGCAGTATGCACTTAAGGTTTCTCCATGCCTTTTTATAACTTAATAGCTCCTTTGTGGTTTTGGTGAATAATAGTCCATTGTATGGATGTATCAGAGTTAGATTATCCATTCATGTATTGAAGGACATCTGGGTTGCTTCCAACTTTTGGCATCATGAATGAAGCTGCTTTACATGCTCTTGTGTAGGTTTTATGTGGACATAACATTTCATCTCAGTTGGGTAAGTTAAGACTAGGTTTAGGTTTGTAAAAAGCTACCAGAACATCTTCCCAAGTGGCTGTGTACTATTTTACATTCTGCCAGCCATCAATGAGAGTTCCTTTTGCTCCACATCCTCATCATCATTTGCTGGTCAGTTTCTTGGGTTTTATCCATTCTTGCAGGTGTGTAGTGATATCTTACTGTTTTAACTTGCAGTTCTCTAATGACATGATACTGAGCATCATCTTATGTGCTTTTTGCCATCTGGTTGGTTTTTGTTTTTGTTTTTTGAGACAGAGTCTTGCTCTGTCATCCAGGTGGAATGCAATGGCACGATCTCTGCTCACCACAACCTCCACCTCCTGGGTTCAAGCGATTCTTCTGCCTCAGCCTCCTGAGTAGCTGGGATTACAGGTGCCCACCAGCACGCCTGGCTAATTTTTTGTATTTTTAGTAGAGACGGGGTTTCACCATGTTGGTCAGGCTGGTCTCGGAACTCCTGACCTCGTGATCCGCCTGCCTCGGCCTCCCAAAGTGCTGGGATTATAGGCGTGAGCCACCGCACCTGGCCCTGCCATCTGTTGATCTTCTTTGGTGAAGTTTCCAGATCTTTTGCCCATTTTTTTTATTTGGGTTGTTTGTTCTCTTATTGCATTTTAAGAGTTGTTTGTTTTGGATACAAGTCCTTTATCAGAGATGAGTTTTAGAAATATTTTCTCCCAGCCTGTGGATTGACTTTTCATTCTCTTCACAGTATTTTTCACAGGACAGAAGTTCTAAATTTCAATAAAGCCCAACTCATTTTTTTCTGTCATGGATCATGCTTTTGGTGTTGTGTTTAAAAACTCATTGCCAAACCCAAGGCACCTGGATTGTCTCCTGTGGTATCTTGTAGAAGTTTTATGGTTTGGCATTTTATATTTAGGCCTGTGATTCATTTTAAGTTAATTTTTATTAAATTTGTAAAGTCATTGTACAGATTAATATTTTTGCATATTAGTGTCCAGTTGTTCCAGTGCCATTTGTTTGTTGAAAAGAATATCCTTTTTTCCTTGAATTGCTTTTGCTTTTTTATTACTGTAACTTTAGAGGAGGTCTTAACGTCAGGTAGTGTCAGTCCTGACAATATTGTTTGACTTTTCTAGGTCTTTGGCCTTCCTATATAACCTTGAAAATCAGTTTATTGATATCCACAAAATAGATATCAACTAAAATCAAACTTGCTGAGATTCTAATGGATTTTTAAAATTGTAAAACACATGGAACATGAAGTTTATCATTTTAACCATACAATTGTGTGCGGGCATTTTTAACTTCATACTCCAGTAGTTCAGGGCTGCTGCAGAGGAATGCAACTAGCTTTTTATATACACTAACCTTATATCCTGCAACCTTGTCATAAATGCTTATTGGTTCTAGGAGGGGCTATTTTTATTCTTTGGGATTTTCTACATAGATAATCATGTCATCTATGAACAAAAACAGTTTTATTCCTTCCCTTCAAATTTCTATGCCTCTTATTTTCTTGTCTTACTGCATTAGCTAAGACTTCCAGTATGATACTGAAGAAGAGTGATGAGTGGGGATTTCCTTGTCTTGTTCGCAATCTTATGGGGAAAGCTCCTAGCCTCTCCCATTAAATCAGAGATTTTGTGTGTTGTTTTTTTTTTTTTTAGCAGGTTGAGGAAGTTCTCTATTCCTAGTTTGCTGAGAGACTTTTTCATGACTGGGTGTTAGATTTTGTTGGATGCTTTTTCTGCACCTATTGATTGTATGATTTTTTCTTTAACCTGTTGACGTAATAGATTATATTATTTGATTTTTTAATATTGAACCAGCTTTGCATACCTGGAGTAAATCCCACGTAGTGATGGTGTATAATTATTTTTAATACATTGTTGGATTTGATTTGCTAATACACTGTTGAGGATTTTTGCCTCTAACCTATGCTCATGAGAGATATTAGTCACTGTCCACCAAGGTCATTCAATTAGAGAAACCTTAGATCATTCTTACTGCTTTCCTTTCTACTACGAATGTACATGTGAAGAAGTTAAATGCTTGCAAATCTAGTCTCCTATTGCTTTGCCAGCATCTTCATCCAGGTTCTTGAGGTCTCTCCTGAGGCTGTGGCAGCCTACATCCCCATGTCTTCTGTGTTCATCAAAACTCCAACCTCATTTTACGCTTGTCACTGCCATGTGAGATACTTTGCTGAAATACTAAACTGATTTGTGGGCTTATAAACATTCATTTCCCTATTAACCTACAAATAAGATTTAAACCAATTTGCTTTTTTTGATATTTAAAAATATTAATTATTTAAAGTAACAAACCCAACTCATGTGTCCAGTTTCCCCTTCTCCATTTCTCACTCTTTCCTGATCATGAATGCTCTTAAAATGACATTCTGTTCCCGAGAATCCCCTCCTCACATCTCTACTTTGTGCACACATTTCATCATGCTCAGTTCTCCTGTGTAGCTTTGCCTGCAAACACAGGCACTTTGTATGGATTTGAAGGCAGAAAGATCATCTAATATTTTTTAGCATGTCTTCCCCCATTAGGCCAGGAATTCTCTCATATTCATCTTTCACCAACATTTCATTTAAGCCTAATCATTTTGACTTCTGCACATTAGCATTTCAATTTTAAAGACTTGAAAAAAAATACTAAATGTTATGTAAATGTAATTTTTTATGAACCTTGTTTACAAGGTAACAATATGTCAGAGACCATGTCGTGTTTACCAGTGCCTGGAATTTAGAGCATCTTGGTAAATGTTTATTGAGCTAAATTGAAAAAGTTAAGAATCAGTTTATATAAACTACTTTTACACGTGTAGTCATGTTCGACTATATCATTGACTCTGTTACTGGAAGAGGTTGCTGTGAACTAAGGAAATTTTTAGAGTGGCTGGCCTTGATTCGAAGTATAGTTGGGCAGCTTAACAAGGGGAGGGGCTTTTCTGTCATGGAAACAAGATAAGCAAAGATATGGAGGTGGGACTAGAGCATGTGTGAGTCAATAGAGCATGTTGACTTCTGGGAAGGTGGTGGTACAGACAGGCCAAATAAAAGGAGGCCTTCAATACAGGGATTTGCGCCACTACTAAGGGATTTAAATATATGTCTATTCATATACATTCTGAGTCCTGTATTTGATAGATTGTTTCTTTATGGGGTATTCTTTAAATAAATATATATTAACTGAAAGTTTTTCTTGTATAATGGAACTATTTTTCAAAAAACTGAAACATTTTTAAAACTTTTATCCTCAGGATTCAAGTTCGAAATATGGCAACTTTGAAAGATAGTAAGTATGTTGTTTGTCTCAATATGTGAATTGAGAAAAACTAAATTTTGACAAATACAAATACTTTCAAAAATATACTGCTTTAGCCCATTGTGTATTTGATCAAAACTGACCAAATGGATTTCCATTGTATGTTTGGGACATTGGACTTGTTCTGAAAAGACCAGTAAGAAAGGACACCTGAGACAGCTATGTTCTGTTGTTTGTAGAATGATCATGATATAACTAGAAAAAATTATACCAGTGTTGGTGTAGGTGGGTGTATGTGTGGGAAGGGGTAAATCATGTTATATATAAATAATGTTATGGAATATGTGGTTAAGGCAACTTTCAATACCATTTAATGTTTTAAATGTATATTATTGTCTTATGTTGCCATTTGCTTGTCCTAAGTAGTAGCTAGTTTTGCCTTCCTTTTATTAGTACTATTTCTATTTTTTTTTTTTGGAGATGGAGCCTCATTCTATCACCCAGGCTGGAGTGCAGTGGCGCCATCTCGGCTCACTGCAAGCTCCGCCTCCCGGGTTCACGCCGTTCTCCTGCCTCAGCCTCCCGAGTAGCTGGGACTACAGGCGCCCGCCACCACGCTCGGCTAATTTTTTGTATTTTTAGTGGAGACGGGGTTTCACCGTGTTAGCCAAGATGGTCTTGATCTCCTGACCTCGTGATCCGCCCACCTCAGCCTCCCAAAGTGCTGGGATTACAGGCGTGAGCCACCGTGCCCGGCTATTAGTACTAGTTCTAATATTAAGACTGGTTTAGCATCGTGCTGTTTATTGTTTATCTAAGCGCTCATTATTCTGCCTTGCACTTCAGAAAAATATGTCAATAAATTCACAAGGAAGTTATACTGTAATTCCTTTGTCTTAACACAGTACTTCTATTTTTCAGTCACCAGGAGACTAAAGTCCATCAAAAACATCCAGAAAATTACCAAGTCTATGAAAATGGTAGCGGCAGCAAAATATGCCCGAGCTGAGAGAGAGCTGAAACCAGCTCGAATATATGGATTGGGATCTTTAGGTAAGGGAAGAGTGTAATTCACAAATTAGGAAGAACTGTTTCACACAAGGAAGACTACTGATGACTTACATTTAGAGCTTACAGTGATGTCAAGCCTATCTGAGCACTTGCCATGTACTTATTTTTCATCTACATCCACTTGACACGTAATGATAACAACCCGTGTAGGTAGTACAGGTAGGGACTGTTAGAATCCCTGCTTTCCAGTGAGAAAAACTGAAGCACACAGAAGTTAAGTAACTTGCCTAAGATCACATATAAAAGGATGAAGAGCCTCTGTTTGGACCTATGTGGTTTGGTGTCGAGTCTGTGTATTTGTTAGCCATTATACGTGACCATGTTAACTTTTAAAATATTCTGAAATGTTCCCAGTTGTTAAGTATACCATCAGAAGAACTTGGAAACCGTGCGTTAGATGTAAGGGCTTAATTTCATCCTATGACCTTGTAGTGTGGCATTTTAGGACTGCAGCGGGGGCGGGTGAGGGGCAGTGCAGTGGAGAGCTGGCCTTGTGGTCATGGATATGACTCATGATGGTGTTTTGAGAATCCGAACGATGTTGAAGCAGGAAAAGCAGCTGAGAACCTCCATTTTCAAGATACTTAATCACCATTCTTATCTTTTCAAAAGCATGAAGACATTTTTCCTTCAGAAATTTATGTAATCCATCCTTAATTAGTCTTCTTAATGGAAAAGAGATGAGATATGACAGTTTAAAAAGAATTTATATTGTGTTTTTAGATGCTTTTATACTTGTTTGATTATGAATTCATCTTGGAAATAAAGTTGTAAAGAGCTGGAAATGGGAAAGAAGTTTCTATTTTAACTTGTAATTACATTCTTTCTCTTAACTTTTTTATGATCATGCTGTCTTATCCTGAGTTGAGGCTATCTAAAAGAATTTTTAACTTAAGGAAGATTTATGCATATTTGATAGTAAAGAAGATCATGCAGTGAACCCCCTATTTATCTACCAAATCCTCAGTATCTCAACTGACAGCTGTCCTTTGTTTTTTTATGTGTGTGTGTGTGTTTTGTTGTTGTTTTTTGTTTGTTTTCTTTTTGTGTTTTTTTTTGAGATGGAGTCTCATTCTGTTGCCCAGGCTAGAGTGCAATGGTGCAATCTCAGCTCACTACAACCTCCCCCTCCCAGGCTCAAGCGATTCTCCTGCCTCAGCCTCCCCAGTAGCTGGGATTAACAGGCCCCCACCATCACACCTGGCTAATTTTTGTATTTTTTTTTTCTGAGTCGGAGTCTAGCTCTGTCTCCCGGGATGGAGTGCAGTGGCATAATCTCAGCTTGCTGCAAGCTCTGCCTCCCGGGTTCACGCCATTCTCCTGCCTCAGCCTCCCAAGTAGCTGGGGCTACAGGCGCCCGCCACCACGCCTGGCTAATTTTTTTGTATTTTTTAGTAGAGACGGGGTTTCACCGTGGTCTTGATATCGTGACCTTGTGATCCGCCCGCCTTGGCCTCCCAAAGTGCTGGGATTACAGACGTGAGCCACCGTGCCCAGCCAATTTTTATATTTTTAATAGAGACGGGATTTCACTACGTTGGCCAGGCCGGTCTCAAACTCCTGACCTCAGGTGATCCGCCCACCTCGGCCTCCCAAAGTGCTGGGATTACAGGCGTGAGCCACTGTGCCCGGCCTCAGCTTACAGCTGTCCTAAGAACACCTGCTTACACTAGGCAGTTGCCAGCTAAATTTAAATGCGTATTTTGGAAATAACCAACTGCTTTGTAAATTAGAGATTTATTGTATTTAGTGTATTGCATATAAAAAAATTACTGCTTTTGTTTGTTTTTAAGCTCTGTATGAAAAAGCTGATATCAAGGGGCCTGAAGACAAGAAGAAACACCTCCTTATTGGTGTGTCCTCAGATCGAGGACTGTGTGGTGCTATTCATTCCTCCATTGCTAAACAGATGAAAAGCGAGGTTGCTACACTAACAGCAGCTGGGAAAGAAGTTATGCTTGTTGGAATTGGTGACAAAATCAGAGGCATACTTTATAGGTAATTTAAATATATATTGTTTATTTTCATAAAGATGTAAGCACGAATAAATCTTCTCTCAAAAGTTTTGACAAACTCTCAAAACCTTCATCAATAACAAGGTATATTCTTCAGGGCCTTTTTTGGTATATTCACAAGGGGGTGTTTGTTTCCTTTTTCTTTTTTCCAGGATATATTGGAACATTTCTGTTTTCCTTCCCCTGTTTTCTACCTTTGCTTCTTCATCCGGATCATAAGTTGAATGCCATGTGAATATCAAAAGCTATCAGCATTAAGCCAAATGAGGCATCTGAGGAGCTGTTACAGCCTGGAAATGTTAGCAATAGTTCATTAGGATTAGAAGGAGAGGAATAAAGGGGAAAAGAATATAAAACAGACCTCATTTTTAGTTCTTAGTTCTTTGCAGGTGCTGAAGGAAAGGAATGATGATAGTGTGTGGAACAACTCAGGAAATCACCACCACCCATACCCCAAAAGACCTGATCCATGGTGACAATGTTTTCTCCTGCCTGTCCCCTGTGCTCTTTCAGCAGAAATCTTATTAAACTAGCTATGTGAGCTCTTGCTTTTCTTATAGGACTCATTCTGACCAGTTTCTGGTGGCATTCAAAGAAGTGGGAAGAAAGCCCCCCACTTTTGGAGATGCGTCAGTCATTGCCCTTGAATTACTAAATTCTGGATATGAATTTGATGAAGGCTCCATCATCTTTAATAAATTCAGGCAAGACAGATTTAGAAATCAAAGCTTTTTTATGTTCATGCTTTTGTTCATATTTTGAAATAACAGTTTAAAAATTATTTTGAGATTTACATTTGTTTTTGTCAATTCTAGGTCTGTCATCTCCTATAAGACAGAAGAAAAGCCCATCTTTTCCCTTAATACCGTTGCAAGTGCTGGTAAGTAGTTTTTCTATGATACATATTTTTTGGCATATAGAATGGAGAGATTTGTACACTAAGGCAGACAGTGTCAAGATATCTGGTGGTAGCTATAGCAAATGATTTGGGGCTGTTTCTTTTTTAGATGGAATCTTGCTGCCTCCCAGGCTGGAGTGCAGTGGCACCATCTCGGCTCACTGCAAGTTCCGCCTCCTGGGTTCACACCATTCTCCTGCCTCAGCCTCCCTAGTACCTGGGACTACAGGCACCCGCCACCAAGCCTGGCTAATTTTTTGTATTTTTAGTAGAGACGGGGTTTCACCATGTTAGCCAGGATGGTCTCAATCTCCTGACCTCGTGATCCACCCGCCTCGGCCTCCCAAAGTGCTGGGATTACAGGCATGAGCCCAGCCTTTTATTTTTTTATTTTTTATTTTTTGAGACGGAGTCTCACTGTGTCACCCAGGCTGAAGTGCAATGGCATGATCTCGGCTCACTGCAACCTTCGCCTCCCGGGTTCACGCCGTTCTCCTGCCTCAGCCTCCCAAGTAGCTGGGATTACAGGTGCACGCCACCACGCCTGGCTAATTTTTGTATTTTTAGTAGAGACAGCATTTCACCGTGTTCGCCAGGCTGGTCTTGAACTCCTGCCCTCAAGTGATCCACCTGCCTTGGCCTTCCAAAGTGCTGGGATTACAGGCATGAGCCACTGCACCCGGCCGATCTGGGGCTGTTTCTGAGAAGTGCCATCTCTTGACTTCCATGATACTTAATTCAGTCATTGTTTGATAACTCCTGCTCTATTCTGTCATTAATTGAAAAGTCAGTATCTATTGAGGTTCATCATTAGATTTTTTTGTCCTCAAGGATTGAAGAGCGTAGCTAGAAACTGGCTTTGCAAGTTATGTTTGGGACCTCTAACTACAATAAAACAGAAGCTCTAGAATAGAGAGTTGAACAGTGTTCACAGCTAATTTACATTGACTGACTCAATTCTCTTGTTTTATTGTTGGAATAAAGTCATCATTGATCATTGAAGCATCCTGGAATAATATTCTGGAACTGATTTTAGTTTTCTAAGGCTTTTTTCCCTTGTATATACCATCTATTTTCTAATACTTCATTTATTTTCAAGTATGTACTTTACACGTTAATGTTTCTGAAATTGAGATGGCTCTACCAGCCAATGGAACATCATTTATAATTGAGTACATTTTTTTCTCTCTTAATGAGAAATAAAGTAGGTGTTACAACCAGTACCATTTAATGAAATATAGTATTTTGATAATATATAGTACTGTGTCACCACTTGACCCCAATGAATGAATTTTGAAATGTACTTCTAAATTTCTACAACATTAAAACTACGATTCATACCAATTTCTAGTTCTCCCACTCTTTCATGTGCTTTGAAAGGTTTTCCCTCTCTCATTTTCCAGATTGATACATTCAGATTTCTTCAGTAATCAAATGACTAAGTTGGAATTACTGCACAGGTTGAGTATCCCTTGTGTGAATGCTTAGGACCAGAAATGTTTGGGATTTCAGAATATTTTCATATTTATAATGCAGTATCTTGGGGACAGGACCTGAGTCTGTACACCCTATACACATAGCCTGAAGGCAATTTTATGCAATATTTTAAAGAATTTTCTGCATGAAACAAAGTTTCAAATGCACCCCATCACACAAGGTCAGGTGTGGAATTTTCCACTTGTGGCATCACGTCAGTGCTCAAAATGTTTCAGATTTTGGAGCACTTCAGATTTTGGACTTTGGGATTAGGGATGCTCAACCTGTATTACACTAAATTCGTTTCAATTCATTATTATTCTTTTTTACTGGAAAAAGCATTGAGTGCTTGCTGGCTTTGTAACAGGCACATGCTAATGCTGTCCAGAGGGCTTCATAACCACGAGATATAGTGCAGTTATTTCAAATGTTGACCTAATTTTTCTAAAGTTACACATGTGGAGTAGAATATCAAATGGTTTATTTACACATTATATTTTGCTAAAAATATGCTATCATCTGTAGTGTGGAAATAGATGACATTATTAGAACAGATTCATTTACCTTATCTAGCATTAATTTCTGCTCTGTAATTATAAAGGAGTTTTACACTGAAAAGCTGTTTTTGATGAATTACTATTCCTTCCATATAACTTGAAAGAAACTCATCACTTGTTTTAACAGACAGCATGAGTATCTATGACGATATTGATGCTGACGTGCTGCAAAATTACCAAGAATACAATCTGGCCAACATCATCTACTACTCTCTGAAGGAGTCCACCACTAGTGAGCAGAGTGCCAGGATGACAGCCATGGACAATGCCAGCAAGAATGCTTGTAAGTACACAGTATGGACAGTGCCAGCAGGAGTGCTTGTGAGCACACAGTGAATCTCAGCTGAGAGGAGTCCGTGGCCGAGAGTAGCATCAACAACATTAACATGATATTCCTGTACCTGTAAGAAAGTATATCTTGATAGGTAGTTGATTTGCAAGTACTGTGAAAAGGTATCCTATGGAAGATGTAAAAATATCTTCATAACATTATTTGAGAGGCCAATTTTGGTATCCAAAAATTTCTTACTTTTAAATTAAGCAACAGAAGTTAGTTAACAAGTTATTCTACTCTAGTTTCAGATTTTTTATGTAGTGTTTTTGTTTTGTTTGTAGCTGAGATGATTGACAAATTGACATTGACATTCAACCGTACCCGCCAAGCTGTCATCACAAAAGAGTTGATTGAAATTATCTCTGGTGCTGCAGCTCTGTGAGTAATTGTAGATTGTCGCCTTCAGAGAATTTTTTTTCCTCTTGCTGTGTCTGCTTGTTTGGATGCTTAAAAGTTTTTCGTTTTTTTCTTTTGAAGTTGAAACTCATTGCTGAAACTTGCATCCTAACTCTTAGGCTATAAAGATGTGGTAAAAATGGGACCTCTTTGCTTTATTTTTATTGTTTCAGCTGGAAACACTCGGGCTTAGTTTTCGGTTTTCTAAAGGATTAGGAATGGGATGTGGATAATTCAGTATCATTTATGAAATCTTTTTTTGGAATTTAAACAATTGTAAGCCAAGCTTTCTGAGTTACAGGGCTAGTTTCAGATTTGGTTTTACATAAATCTATAAACCATTGCATGTTGGGAAGGTCCAGGAATTTTTTAATCATTATGTTTTTTAATCATTATGTTTTCTATATCAGTACCAAAAGATAGTATAGCCATCCCTCAGTATCTGCAGTGGATTGGTTCCAGTACTCACTCTCACCTCCCCCAGGATACCAAAATCTGAAGATCCTCAAGTCCCTGAAATAAAATAGCACAGTACTACATATAAAAAATGCACATCCTCTCGTATACTTTTAATCATCTCTAGTTATAATGCTATGTAAATTGTTGTTGTATTGGTTTTTGTTTTTATTATTTTATCATTATTTTTGTCTTTTTTCCAAATATTTTACATCGGCTGTTGGTTGAATCCATGGATACTGAGGGCCAACTATATACTGCTTTCCTCAAGAAAATTTCTTAGTTGTTGAAAAACTTTAATGTTTATGAAAAAAAGGTTAAGATAATGGGAATTTTATTCAAAAAGTTATTAAGTTGAATACCCACTATGTGCACAGTACAGTGCTAGACACAGTGTTAAGGATGTGATTCTCTCTTTTAAGGCACTTATATTCTAATAGGATAAGAAACATACAAGTAATTGTGATTAGATAAAACGTGTAGTAAGTTCTTTTTGACTCGTTCCTTCTTACCTCCTGCTAATCAGTTACCATGCTCTTTAAGTTTTACCTTCTAACTATCTCTTGAATCTTCCCCCTTCTTTATGCCCACTTAATGCAGATCCTTGTCATTTCTCTCCTGGGTTCAAAAAGGTAATTATTTGAGTGCCCCTTAAGTGTCAGGCCCTGTGCTAGACACTGAGGATACAGTGGTAACAGTATTTGCCTTCAGAGAGCTCAGTCTTCACAGTAAAGGCAGACACTAAATAAGAAGTCACAGCAGAACAGAGGTTGCTAAACTGTGGCCTGGAGCTAAGAATGGGTTCTGCATTTTTAAAGGGATATAAGAAAAAGGAGAGTGATAGCGTGTGACCCACAGAGTGCAGAATACTTGCTGTGTGGCCCTTCACCGAAAAAATTTGCCTATTCTTGTGACAGTGTTATGAGGAAAATAACAAAATCCATTCTCTGTTATACACTCATTCTGCAGAAACACTCGATGTATGTGATCCTATATTTTCTGGTCACCAGCACTCTTCCCAGTCCAGTCTCTTACCATTACCATTTCTCACGTCCTTGAACCTCAGCCACCTTGATCTACTTCCAGATCTACAGATTCGTCACTCTTTCTCGCGGCCAGGGAGTGGCATGTGCTGCAGCCTGAAAAGCCACTATTTCTTCCCTTGCTCCCTTGATTCTTCATCTGACTGCCTCCTGTGTATCCTTCCTTACTCAGCTGGGGGAATCCTTTCTTCCAGAAAACACTCCTTCCTTCAGTCTGAGTGAGGCAGCCTTCTGCAGCATCCTGTCTTCCATTTAGCTTAGCTCTTACAGCCTTGTATGAGGAATTGGCTTTTTATTTGTCTGTGTGCTCCTCGAGGCTAGGATGGGACCATATCTTATTCACTTTTGTGTCCCCATTGCCTGGTACATACCTCCTTCGTGAATGTTGAATGAATGAATGAAATGCCATATGTATTCAGAACTGGAAGTTCAGAAGAGGGACAAATAACATTTTATTGGGTGTATGAAAATGTGGGTCCATGGTTTTAAGAGTCAGGGAAAAGTTCATCACTATTTAAAGTGTTCCTTAAGTGTTACTTTTCAAGGGCAGAAACTGGGCAGAATGCCAGAGAGACACAACTAGAACTTTTTGAGCCAACAGAGACCTTTGTGTAAGTTGTTAGTTGGATCCATCAGCCTCGCTATCCTAAGCATTCTTCTCTTATTTTACTTTCTAAGCACAGCTGTGTTAGGACTAACCCATTCACAGCCTGGTCACCAATGTTCTATCAGCATCACAGAATACTGTCTCATGGTGTCTAGCTTGATGAACTTGGTTAGGATACTCTCTCTGTTACTCAGCTTTGTCATCTGTAACATGGGGACTAATACAAGGACTAAAACCTTCTATTAGCCATTATCCTTCTTGCCATCTACCCCATGTTAAAGCCAGGCTGATTTGTTCTTGGATCTTAAGTGTGACAAAGCCTGCGGGAAGGAACCACATTCTGAAGGTTTGTGGGCTGTGTGAGATCCAGAGAACCCAAGGGGGTTTTTTTGCTCTTGACAAACGAATGTTAGGTATGACCTATGATGATACAACTTCTGCAAAATTGAGGACCAGCCTATTTCTTCATTAGAAATGCAGGAAACCTGGCCGGGCGCAGGGGCTGACGCCTGTAATCTCAGCACTTTGGGAGGCAGAGGTGGGCGGATCACAAGGTCAGGAGATTGAGACCATCCTGGCTAACTCGGTGAAACCCCGTCTCTACTAAAAATACAAAAAATTAGCTGGGCGTGGTGGTGGGCGCCTGTAGTCCCAGCTACTATGGAGGCTGAGGCAGGAGAATGGCATGAACCTGGGAGGCGGAGCTTGCAGTGAGCCGAGATTGCGCCACTGCACTCCAGCCTGGGCAAAAGAGCAAGACTCCTTCTCAAAAAAAAAAAAAAAAAAAAAAAGAAATGCAGGAAACCTATTTAAAAGTAACAGAAACAGCTGGGTGCATTGGCTCATGCTTGTAATCCCAGCATTTTGGGAGACCGAAGCGAGTGGATTGCTTGAGCCCAGGAGTTCAAGACAAGCCTGAGCAACATAGCAAGACCCCATCTCTACAAAAATGAAAAAATTAGCCAGGCCTGGTGGCATGTGCCTGTTGTCCTAGCTACTCAGGAAATTGAGGCAGGAGGATTGCTTGAGCCCAGGAGTTTTAGGCTGCGGTGAGCTATGATCGTGCCACTGCACAAAACCAAGAATTTAGAAAAAGGAATCCACATAATTGGAAATTGAGTATTAAGTTTTTGCTTCCTAGGAAGGTAGTCTAAATCCTTATACAAAAACTTAGCTATGCAGTGCCAAGGTTGGATTGCTTGTGAATGGGTTTGCATGCTCTGTAACCTATCAGTTATTCTGAATCAAGACTTGAATATTTAAACATACTTGGAAAAGAAAAAGATCAAAAAACAAAATAAACATATTTGGCTATTTAGTAATATAATTAAGAACATGAGTAAACCATAGTATTCGAGGTCCAAGTATTAGTTGCCAGCCTAAAAACTAAATATGGCCAGGCGCAGTGGCTCATGCCTGTAATCCCAGCACTTTGGGAGGCCGAGGCGGGTGGATCACCTGAGGTCAGGAGTTCCAGACCAGCCTGGCCAACATGGCAAAACCCCGTCTCTACTAAAAAAGTACAAAAATTAGCTGGGCGTGGTGGCGGGCACCTGTAATCCCAGCTACTCGGGAGGCTGAGGCAGGAGAATGACTTGAACCCAGGAGGAGGTTGCAGTGAGCTGAGATCACGCCACTGCACTCCAGCCTGGGCAACAGAACAAGACTCCATCTCCAAAAAAAAAAAAAACCTCTAAATATATTGTGTTAATTTATAGAAAAATTGTAATTTAAATTACATATTCATAGTCTTGCCTACTTGCATGAGCATGTTTTTATTGCTTCTAACCTGGATTGAAATCTATGACTTTTTATAACAGTCATTGAGTCTGTTTCAAAGGAATCTTGTGGTAAGTATTTTTGCATGATGTACTCAAGGTATCAAGTTTAACAATTGACTTTTTTTCATTGGAAAGCATATGTGATTAACTAGCATGGATTGCTTCTTGACCTGCTTGTTTTGTGTTTGTCTTTTTCTTCTAATATAATAACCAGGGATTAATGAAAATCAAGTTCCATCCTCAGACAAGAGGTAAAGTTCACACATTCTTCCCATGTCTGTTCAGAAAAGAAACCTATTCAGATATAAGTTAAGCTAATTTAGTAATCCTAGAATTGTCCTCTGAGAGATTTAGATGGATGGGCCACTTCACAGTAGCAGCCAACTCACGGGAGCACCTGGGCAACGCTAGTGGACTTTTTTGTAGTGAGTGTGTTGATCATAGAAAATGTAGATATAAGGAAATAAACTTTGAGGATAGAGAATTAACATTATTTTGAGATATTATATATAGGTTGTGAAGAGTGGTGGTTGTCACACTTTATGGTCTCTGGACCCCTTAATGTCTGATTCATGTAGCAGAAGCCAGCTAGATTTTCATCTGTCTCTATTCATTTTGTTGTGATGTCATGGATCATGTGGCCTCTGGAAAACTCTACTGTATACTCGAGAATGAGAATATAACAGGCAAAATAACATTATCATGAAAATAGTTTTGACCTCATGAACCCCATGAAAGGTTCCCCAGACCAAAATTTTAGAATCACTGGTATAGGGTAACACTTTATTGTGTAAATTCAGTTCTCTGTACCCCACTTAAATATGTATTATTATCTCTTGACATTATTTTCCCAAAAAATGCTGTTTGATTTCTTACTTGTTCTGTACTTTGTTTTTCAGGTAAAGAAGGAAAATTCAGCCAGTTGATTTTGTTTTTAGCTTACTGCTGCCTTTGTCCGAAGAAACTGTTCCTCCATTATTTGAATTACTGAAGACAGCAAGATATTTGTAAATTATCTTAAAATAAACAACTTAAAATAAAATCATTGTTTTTCTTATATATAAGAACAATAGATATAGTTTTTGAAATGAGATGATACTAAAACATTTAAAAATATTAATATGCTACTATTAAAATTTTTTAGTAG
This sequence comes from Homo sapiens, assembly GCF_000001405.40. Taxonomy (NCBI): domain Eukaryota; kingdom Metazoa; phylum Chordata; class Mammalia; order Primates; family Hominidae; genus Homo; species Homo sapiens. Next base: position 7,807,907 of record NC_000010.11, read on the forward strand.
AAGACAATTTAAGAGGCTCTTTTGATTTGGTAGTGCTCCACTGACCTTAAAATGTCTAGCCTCTATGGGGACAACGTAGAGGGAAAGGGCTGCAGCCACAGCCTCAGCCCAGTTCTGTGCCTTATTACAGCCTTAAAGAACAGTCAACAAGACCAGGCACGGTGGCTCATGCCTGCAGTCCTAACACTTTGGGAGACTGAGACTCAAGGTGGATCACTGGAGGTCAGGAATTTGAGACTAGCCTGGCCAACATGGTGAAACCCTGTTTCTACTAAAAACAAAACAAAATACAAAAATGGTGCACACTTGTAATCCCAGCTACTCAGGAGGCTGAGGCAGGAGAATCGGTTAAACCTGGGAGGCAGAGGTTGCAGTGAGCTGAGATCGCGCCACTGTACTCCAGCCTGGGCAACAGAGTAAGACTCTGTTCCAAAAAAAAAAAAAAAATGCCACAGGAAGCATTTGCTTGGAATTCTGGATACAAAATTGCAAGCATATACTTACTCTAAATTATTTAAAACATCTTTTCTAAACACTGAGAAAAGTACGATACTCACATTTAGATCACAATTAAGATTAGATGCCTGCGTTGACTCCACACTCTGAGTTGGCCATGCCAAAATTTCAGGCTTTTCCCTATTTGTTTAAAATTGATAACTTAGTTTTTTGGGTTTTTTTTAATTACAAAAGTAATATATAAATTCCAAAATACATAAAATTATAAACAATATAAAACCCATTCTTAACAAGCTCCTCTTTTAAAAACAAATGAATGCATGTATTTAGAATGGATTCTTTAAATATTTACAGCTATATTCGTGGTAATGAATAAAAAGGTTCAGTGAACTGACCAGAGCTTCAAAGTCATTTTCTAACTCCCCTCAAAGTTTTCAGGAGCCACTTCTGAAGGGGTTGGTGGCTGAGACTAGGAGAAAGAAACAGCTCACAACTGAGGAATCAGATGGAGGTGTAGTGTGAACCAGTACAAGATACCTTTTGGGAATGTTAGCAACGAACCACGTGCCTCTGGAGGCTGTGTGTATGTGTGTGTGTGTGTGTGCACGCCACTATACCTGGCTAATTTAAAAAAAAATTTTTTTTTTAGAGATGGGGTCTTGCTATTTTGCCCAGTCTGGTCTTGAACTCCTGGGCTCAAGTGATCCTCCTTAGCCCTGCAAAGTGCTGGAATTACAGGTGTGAGCCACCATGCCCATCCTGTTTTGTATTTTGCTTCTAAGCTTGGCTTGACCCACCTCCAGTTTCTAGGAGAGCAGAACACATTTGTGAGGGTGATTTGAGTGTCCTAGACATCATGGAAGGAGGAAAAGCAGGAATTTGAAATCAGTCAACATAAGTAAGAATAATCTGTGTCTGAACTGGAATACTAGCTCAGCCCTTAACAGCTGTGACCTTGGGCAAGTTACTTAATCTTTCAGTTTTATGATCTATAAGATGGAGATTAAAAGATTGTTAGGATTAAATGAGCTAATATTTTAAAATATCGAGAATCTGACAGGGAGTAAGTGCTATATTCTTGGTTAAATGTCTGCTCTATGTAAAATTAATCATCAGCTCCCTGTAGCCTTTAGTGGTGCTCTTCTGTGTACTGGCACTCTGACTCTCTGAGGATACAATAACAAAACGCCTCCTTGCAGGAGCTTACAGTCTGGAGGGAACACAAGCAAATGACAGAATGTGGTAAGTTACAATTGGTGAGCCACAAGAGGGACAGTGACTCAATTTGGGGACAGATGAAGGGGACTGAGAAGGCCGTCCAGCTTGGAGGAAGGGAGGTCTAAACAGTCCTCAAGGACCAGTGACCAACAGTAGAAATTAAACTACTAGAGCTAACTGGTGGGGAGGGAAGGCATTTCAGGCCAAGGAAGCAGAAAAAGCAAAGACCAAAATCTGTTCAAATGCACATTCTGAAAACTGCTAATACAGAGAACGAGAAAGGCAAGATAAATCTGGAAAGGTGAGTGTACCATGCTGTGTGGTTTAGACATGTAGGAAGGAATCAAAGAGTAAGCTTGAAATTTTCCCCCAACTTCTGTCCTCTCCTTTTGCTAAGTGGCATAACACAGTGGAATTACAGTGATAAATGACCACTGGTAAGGTTTATTACATAATTCAAACTGCTTTTTTTTTTGAGATGAGGTCTGGCTCTTATCGCCCAGGCTGGAGTGCAGTGGCAGGATCTTGACTTACTGCAAACTTCACCTCCTGGGCTCAAGCCATCCTCCCACCTCAGCCTCCCAAGTAACTGGGACTACACCATGCCTGGCTGATTTTTGTATTTTTAGTAGAGACAGGGTTTTGCCATGTTGCCCAGGCTGGTCTCGAACTCCTGGCCTCAGTGATCTGCCTGGCTCGGCCTCCTGAAGTGCTGGGATTACAGGAGTGAGCCACTGCTCCTGGCTATCCTATTTTCTGCAAACACCTACACAGTACCTAAAGGGCTAGGTCTGTTAATTTTAATATTCTAGGATTGAGTTTCCATCATTACAACTGTTGTCTATAATGTGCCCTTTAGGAAACTGTTTCTCTGTGTGCTTTAATATAGAATAGTTGAAGCTTTCAGAAATTTTATTATCATTATTCAAAACTCTCTAAATGAAGCTTAAGAACTGTGCAGTCACTGAGCTCCTGGCACCAACTGAAGAAAAAGTGCTGCCGTTGGCTGAAGTTGGGCTCACTGGTCCTCAACTGTAACCCTCGTCAGCATTGACCGCTACGCCCCAGTACTCGCCTTTCCCACATTGCTCTTGGTTCTTTTCCTTGTCCACCAAGACAGAATGATAAGGATCAGGCCTCTTGGATGAGTCTGAGCTCTGATCTCAGGAAGAAATTTCGTTCTACAGATCTCATGCCCCGCTAAGCTGTGTGCAGTCTCACTGCTAAAGAAGCAGCTGCTCTCCATTTCTGCCACTCCTGCTCTTGAACAGGTTCCTGATTCCTGGCCTCCACTGTTCACTTCTAGTTACTCTCTTCAAAGAGTGGCTTCACTGAGACATCATCCACATGCCATGAAATTCACCCTTCTAAATTCTACCACTCAGTGGTTTTTCATATATTCAGAGTTGTGCTCTAATCCACTCTCTATATCATTGCAAGATGAATTGTGCTAAAAGGCATTACTGAAATATGACTAACTGCTAGGTACTATTTACTAGTGAATGAGACGAACACAGATCCTGCCTCTACCCCCGCAAAGTATACAGCAAAGAATGGAATGATTTTAGTTTCGGACATCCCTCAAACATTAATTACATTTGAGTGATATATTGGACATCCAAGCAGACATTAGTCATTAGATGCAGTTAGCTACGCTAGTATAGCACTCAGGAACAATCCAAGATAAAGTGTTATATTAAGGAGTCATCTTTACACAGCTAATGATGAAATCACTGAGGTGAATCCTATGAAAAGAGAACACTGTAAAAGCAGACAAAAGCTGCCAGGCGTAGTGGCTCATGCCTGTAATCCCAGCAGTTTGGGAGGCCGAGGTGGGCAAATTGCTTGAGCCCAGCGGTTTGAGACTAGCCTCGGCCACATAGCAAAACCCATCTCTACAAAAAAGACAAAAATGAGCCAGGCATGGTGACATGTGCCTGTGGTCCCAGCTACTCAGGAGCCTGAGGTAGAAAGATTGCTTGAACCTGGGAGGTCGAGGCTGCAGTGAGCTGTGACCAGGCATGATGGTGCATGCCTGTAATCCCAGCTTTTTGGGAGGCTGAGGCAGGAGAATCACTTGAACCTGCGAGGCAGAGGTTGCAGTGAGCTGAGATCGTACCACTTCACTCCAGCTTGGGTGACAGAGCAAGACTCTGTCTCAACAAAACAAGCAAACAAACAAAAAAAGTAATAAAAGGCAAAGACATTGCAGGATAAGTCAAATCTTTGATATTGAAGCCAGGTTTCTCACTTTGGGAGAGACAGGATATGCAAATAGGACATGGGAGGAGAAAAGGGATATGTAATTTTAGACTTGAATTAGAGGCATCTGTGTGTACTTTGCACTTCAAAAGTACACATATTGCTGGGTGCAGTGGGTCACGCCTGTAATCCCAGCACTTTAGGAGGCCGAGGTGGGCGGATCACCTGAGGTCAGGAGTTAGAGACCAGCCTGGCCAACATGGTGAAACCCCATCTGTACTAAAAATACAAAAAATTAGCCGGGCAAGGTCGTGCACCTGTAATCCCAGCTACTCGGGAGACTGAGGCAGGAGAATCGCTTGAACACGGGAGGCAGAGGTTGCGGTGAGCCGAGACCAGCCATTGCACTCCAGCCTGGGTGACAGAGCAAGACTCCGTCTCAAAAAAAAAAAAGATACATATTTTTTAGTTCTTTCCACTACAAGGGCCCTGAAGCAATGATTTCCCTGTAGTAATGAAGGTCAGCTAGCACACGTCTGGGTTCTAAATAATATTCCTTTCTAAGAAGAACCAGGGCTCCTCAGAGAGATGTCTACTTCCAAGCTTAGAGCAAGAGAAGCACAAGGTGAGCCTGGAAAATCTAGTGGCACCAAATAGCAAGTCCTCCATGAATGATGGTGACACAGTACAAGAATACAGTGGCCGGCTGGAAAGGGCTCCCACTGGCCAAATACGGGACAATTTAAGCAGCAAGAGAATCACGAAGGTAATGGATCATGACACACCAGCTAAAGAAAAGAATCCGTGCTGGGTGCAGTGGCTCATGCCTTGTAATCCCAAAACTTTGAGAGGCCAAGGCAGGTGGGAGTTACAGACCAGCCCGGCCAACATGGTGAAACCCCATCTCTACTAAAAAGACAAAAATTAGCCAGGTGTGGTGGTGCACGCCTATAATCCCAGCTACTTGGGAGGCTGAGACAGGAGAATCGCTTGAACCCGAGAGGCGGAGGTTGCAGTGAGCCAAGATCTCGCCATTGCACTCCAGCCTGGGCAACAAGAGCAAAACTCCGTCTCAAAAAATAAATAAATAAATAAATAAAATGTAAAGCCATAAAAGGCATTTGGGGACAATGGGAAAATCTGAACACGCACTTTATTTTGTGGGATATTATTGTGTCAATCTTAGTTTGCTGAGTGTGATCATGGTATTATGGGGAGGTGGGAGCTGTGATGCACCATCCAGATCCCCCTTCAGAAGGACCTTCCACTGGGAATGGTGGAAGCACACAGCCCCCAGCTGCCAACCCTCGTTGGAATTGCCTCAGCTGGAGATCACCTTGCCCAAGGTCATGGCCCCCTCCGGAAGCACCTACATCCAGTGTCTGATCAGTATGAGAGTATAAAGACCCCCTGCCTGGCTCAGGACACTGCAAAGGGCCATTCCAGCCTTACAGCTCTCTGTGGGCTTGACTGAGGCCTTTGTGAGCTGGAGCCCAATGTCTCCCTATCCCAGTCCTGCTCTCTCCCCTTTCCCGTCCCCCCCTTTCCCATCCCCCTTCCTCTCCCTTCCACCTTTCCTCCTCAACCTCTCCCCATCCCTTCCCCTCCCCAAGCCCCTCCCTTCTCAACACTGCCCTTCCCTAGTCCTGCTTCCTGCCTGCCCTCCTCTTCTCTCTGCCAGGCGGTGACCCCAAGAGCCCTCCTCTGAGGTTAATCTTCATCTCAGAGACAGCCTCCTGGGGAGTCCAGCTTGGGACATTTGGTGCCGGAGAGGTCTGAAAGAGCAGATGCAAGATGGGATTTTGGAGCTGGATTCCCCCACTGGCTGGCGGTGAGGACTTCAGTATGGGTGGTGGATGGAGCACAGAGGTGCTACCTGACACAAGGCAGCAGTTCCTGAATATGCAAGTCTTAAAACTTCCACCAGGGGTGAACAGGGTAGTAAAACAGTGGAAGCAAGCTGGGACAATGTATGAATGTACCAGATATTTGAGAAATATGGAGCTCATGGGACCCCAAAAATCATAGAAACCAGGTGGCAATACTTAACTATTTAGCAGTCTGAAGCCAAGTGAATGCAGTTATGCGTGAGAGCAATCAGAGGGGTGTGGGCTTACCTGGTGAGTTACGGGGATGGTTCATAGAATAAGGGGTCCCTGGGCGAAATGGATGGACGCCAACACGTGGGCTACTCAATCTGGTCCATCAAAATAATTCAAGGATGGGTAGTCGGGGGTGAGGGCAGATACTCCCATAACCAGTCATGATTCCATGCCCCATTCCTGGATCCAAGCCAGCTTTCAGACTGAAACCCTATTGACTGAAGAAGAGGCTGAGTCTTCAGGAAGAAGAATGCTGCAGCACCAAACGGCGAAGGTAATGATCCCCCCACTCCTTTTGCAAAAGAACCTACGACCATTACTCAGGTAACGGTCCACTGGGGAAAGGGAAACCCACACATTTTGAGGAAGCTGAGAATGAAACCAGGAGATGCGGAGTCATCACGAGTCCCTTGTCAGAGTGGGGGCATCTGAGGCCAAGTGGCACCTGGAGTCTTGGCCCAGGCTCAGCTCACACTTAGACCTACTCAGTGGCCAATTCCCTGATTCCTGAATGTGTCACTGGAACAGACATACTGGGATGTTGGCACAACCCCTACGCTGGTTCTTTGGCCCATAGGTAAGAACTTTGGGCATGGGAGGGTTGAGGAGATGACTTTGAAACTGCCCCTGCAGCTGGGGCGGGGTGGGCAGAAATCATGACCTAAAGGATGCTGAGGCTGTGGGTCACTATATTTTCATTTCATCTGACAGTCTGGCTCCTGCAAATATGAGATGCATCTTGAAGGGTGAGAGTGAACTGTTGTAAACTTAGCCAAGTAGTAACCCTGGTTGCAGTTGCTGTGCCAGATGTGGTGTCTTTGCTAGAACAGATAGACATTGTCTCAAGCATATGGCATGCGGTCATTGGCTGGTGAAAGTTGTCTTTTCCATCCCAAACAGAAAGGATCAGAAATAGTTTCTATTCAGTTGGAACAGGCAACAGTATACATTTTGGTCTTGTCCTAGAGCTATGTTAATTCTCTCACCCTGTGTCATCATACACAGACGGTCCCCAACTTAACGATGGTTTAATTTATGATTTTCAACTTTGCGATGGTACAAATGGAATATGCATTCAGTAGAAACCACACTTTGAATTTTGATCTTTTCTCAGGCTAGCAATATGTGGTACCATGCTCTCTCATGATGCCGGACACAGGCTGTGAGCCACAATTCCTAGTCAGCCATGTGATAACGAGGGTAAACATTCATTGTGATAAGAAATAGATATATACTCTGGGTATGGATTTGCCTTTCCTGCTCATCTTGTTTGAGCCACTGGGTTCCCATATCACGCTATGTCAGCCTAAGGGGCCCATTTTACAATAAAGGAAACGTGGGAGTGGGCACAAGGCTATGAAACCCACGGGTCATATCATACACCACACCACTCAGAAGCTGTCAGCCTGGCAGAGCAATGGAATAGACTTTTTTAGGCACAATGAAAGCACCAGCACACAGGCAATACCTTCTGAGGATGGGCCTGATCCCCTAGGCTGCTGTGCACTCTTTAAGCCAACAACCTTTTTTCTTTTTGTAGAGACAGGGTCTCACTGTTGCCCAGGCTGGAGTGCAGTGACTCGATCATAGCTCGCCGTAGCCTCAAACTCCTGGGCTCAAGTTATCTTCTGGCCTCTGCCTCCTGAGTAGCTGGGGCTAATTTCTTTATATATATATATATATATATATATATATATATATATTTTTTTTTTTTTTTTTTTTTTTTTTTTTTGTAGAGATGGGGGTTTCACTATGCTGCTAGGGCTTGTCTTGAACTCCTGGCCTCAAGCCATCTACCTGCCTTGGCCTCTCAAAGTATTGAGATTAAAGGCATGAGCCACTGTGCCCCACCAAGTCAATGACTTCTGTGATGCTGGGTTCCCAATAAGTAGATGACACAGGGTGGAGACTGGGGTTTCTCCACTTACATCACTCCCAGGGACCCACCTGGGAAATTGTTCTTCCTGTCCTGCCACTCTGGGTTCTCCAGGTTTACAGATCCCATTTCCAAAAGGGGGAATGCTTTCACCAGAGGACCTAGCAGGAGTCCCACTGAAACATTAGCTACAGTTGCTGCCTGGGCACTTCCACTGAGACTGCAGCTAAGAGAGGAGTCATCTTTAGGAGGGGGATGGGCTCCTATTACAGAGTGGGAGGCAAGGTGGAGTGTTTGGTTTCCACATGGTCTGTTTGGGTGCCTCTTGCCCAATTTTGGGTATTCTCTTCCCCAGTTCTGATGGTACAAGGACGAGTTCAGCAGCCACAGTCTGAAAAGGGCCTGGAAACCAGGGGCTCAGACCTGCACATGAGGGTCTGCATCATGCCACCAAATAAGCTACTGAGACCAGAAGTGAGAGAAATGTAGGCCTGAGGAGGAGAATACTGAGTATCAGCTGAGGCCTGGCTGCAGCAGTCGGGGCTCTAATTTGTCTCCTGACCTTCCTCTTTAATGTTTTCCCCAGGGAAAGGGCCCCCTCCAGAATCCTGGAGGAGCTGTTCCTCAAACCAAGAAGTGTCTCTGAGGGTAAAATAGATGAACTGTGATGAATGCTCTAATCCACTGCTCAGAGCCCCCTCAGGACTGAAGGACTTCAGCTGTCCTTGGAATTGAATGGACTCAGCTGCAGTGTTCCTTTGCCTGAGAGCACACACCCTTTCCCAGGTAGCCCTCATGCAGTGACCTGTTCCTATGGGAATATAAAGGTCCAGTCTTCTTGTTTGGATTCAGGGAAGCTCTGAAGGGCCACTCCAGCTTCTGCACACTATGGCATTGGCTTGGCTGAGGCTTTCTTGCCAAGGAATTCACTGCACCCTGGCTTTCACTCCTTCCCCCAAGTCCCAGGAGGATCCCTCAATGAACTTTCTGCAGGCTCATCTCTATTTCAGAGTTGACTTCCTGGGGAACCAAGCCTGTGACATATGGTCTTGTGTATAGTTATGTGGGGGAATGTTCTTGTTTTGGGGTGATACATGTCGAGGTGTGGTGGGGTTAAGTGTCATGAAGTTTGCAGCTTATTTTCAAACTGCTGGAAAAAAAATACCTGCGTGCATATATAAATACAAAATATATAGTAAATTGGCAAAATGTTAACAATTGGTGAATCTAGTTGAAGTGTACACGTGAGTCTATGATTTTGTTTCAACTTTTCTGTAGGTTTGAAATTTTCCGAAATAAAATCCCCTCCCCTATACACAGAAAGGCAAATGAAGAGGAACAAACACCCAGGGTGGCGGCGGTAGCGGGACAGATTTGTGAAATCCAAGGCGCAAGAGAGTTTCAATGTTACAGAAGCGTTCAACATTATCAAATAGCTACAAAATAATCAAGTACGGCTAGGACTGAAAAATGTCTCATAGATTTAGCAACACAATGTTCCTGATAACTTGGGGACAGAGTGTCCAGGGAGTAAATGCAGGCACCTTGCCCTTTAGTACCTTGCTTCTCTGCAGATCGTCATTTAGCTGAAGAACCATAATTTCAGTTCTATTATTGAGTTTCCCAGACTTTGAAAAATGTGAATATCATGTTCAAAGTTCTGGAATAGTCCCTGTCGGAGGAATATAGAGCCACTCATAAACTCGCAATTTATTGGAGGAGCACATAAACTAAATACACTGTGATAAGTACAGAAGGGCATATTTAAGAAACCGCATAGTTCAGCCACTACAATCGGGCGACCTGCAGGCTGAATCTAGACTAACCGTGGGATCAGTTTGGCTTTTGAGATGTGTTCCCAATTCTGTATTTAAAAATCAAGATATTTATCCCTAAATCCGATTTCTGGCAATACTTGGATGGAGCTGGGAGAAGGCTCTGGGGTAGGCAACCGTTCCCAGGACACTCGGCCTGCGACACCGGTTTAAGGCTCGGTTTGGCCTCTGTAGGCAGCCGAGGTCCCCATCCCCCGATAGGTCACAGCCGCGATGCTCAAATCGCACACTATAGCCCACAGGCAGCTTACCTGTTTTTTTTAAAAAAAAAAAAAAAAAAAAAGTTTTATTGGAACCAGGGCTGGGATTAGAATGACATGAGTGAGTCAGGAGTTTATGGCATGGATTTGGATTTTTTTAAAAAAACTGTTAAAATATTATCGATCTTGATGACTGAGTTTTTTGAGGCCCCCATTAATTTGGCACAGAGTCCTCCTAGTTCCTGCCCTATTGCGAAGGGCTTTGAAGGGCATGCGGAACAGCTTGGACTTTATTTAATCTTTGCAGTGGCAAGCAGCTCAATACACAGATTTTTAGCTGAGGCAACACCAGCGCAGGTCTGCGTTTGGCGAGCTCCGTAAGTTCCCACGCCCCAAACTTCTCTCTAGCACATAACTCTCTAATATGACTAACGTTATTAGTGCTAACTCTCTAACCTGTCAATGTCGTATCCCAGATCCCTCGTTTGCCTCTAAAACACTGGCGTTTTCGTCACCGCTGTCCCCCAGGTGAGCGCCCCAGCACCTGCCGCCCTGGGCGCCTCCTCCACCTGCGCGCCCCACGCCCGCTTCCGGCCGGCTTCCAGGCCTCAGAGGCGATCCCGAGGAATCGTTCCGCTCCCAAGGGGCGGAGCTTTCTCATCGCCGCGCTCGGCATTCGGCTTATGCTGCCTCGCCCCGGCGGCCGTCCAGCGGGAGGCGGAGCGAGTCCAAAATGGCGGCTCTCAGGCTGGCGCGCTCCGTGCTGCTGGGGCTTTGAGGTGGTCGCCGGGGGTCCGGGGGACCCTTTCCCCGCCGCGGAAGCCCTAGAGGATGAATCGGGGACCCTGCTAAGGTCTGGCGGCGGGGCTGGAGAGCAGTGGCAGCAAGGGCTGCGGTGGCGTCCACGCAGCGGGATGTGCGAGAGTTACTCCAGGTCGTTGTTGAGGGTCTCGGTGGCGCAGATCTGCCAGGCGCTGGGCTGGGACTCGGTGCAGCTCAGCGCCTGCCACCTCCTCACGGACGTGCTGCAGCGCTATCTGCAGCAGCTGGGCCGGGGCTGCCATCGGTACTCTGAGCTCTGTGAGTACCGGGCTGGGTGCGGGAGGGCTGCCCCGGCAAGTCAAGGGTGACACCTTCGCTCTCCCTGTCCCTCCGCGTCCCCGGGGTGTGCATCCCGCACCCCGCCTCGAGATCTGCTGTTTCCTCGGCCTCCCACGTCCCTGGGCTTCCACTGCCGCTCCAAACTCTAGTCATCCTTCGGGTGCCTCTTCCTTATCCGCTAACTTCCCGCCACCAGCCCGGGAGTCGGGTCTTCGCTCCCAGCTCCACACCCTCCTACCGCTCCTCCGCTCTGAATTGTGTCTGGATCTCTCTCATTGTCTCCTGTTTGCTGCGGGTAGATCCACCCCCAGCGTGCCCTACACCCTCTTTTACCTCGGTCCTTTTTCTCCCTTGCCCGCAAACTACTACAACTAGTTGTCACAGGCGCTCCGTCTACCGGCCGTTTCTTACAAGACTGGCCATTCCTGGGCTCCTAACTACATAGACTCGTTGACAGCTCTGCTCCGTTAGGGACACTGCCTCGTCTTTCTGTATCTGTTCGTTTCGTGAACGACATCTCCATTTACTGTTTTTCCAAGGCTGACTTTGTCAGTTTCGCTGATTAGATGTACTTTCACTTACGTCTCGGTTACCAGTGAGATGTCAGTGGCTATCGAAGTAGGATAGAGGGACCGTGGGCAGTTGACAAGATTCTCCAGGTAATCTGGGCTACAGTACTTATGAGTTTTAAATGAATGTCTGGTAATATCTATAGCTAGTGGTATTTAATAATTTAATGGAAGGAATGGAATATTTTAATAGAAGCTCCACATTATCTTGTTGATGTGAAGCATTGTATGTGTGTTTGTTGAGGAGAGGAAACTACCACTCATTTTAGTTTCAAGTCATGATGTTTAAGGTGGTGAGCTGGAGAACTGAATGAAGTGTTTCATAGGATATTTTGTTTTGTTAAAGTGGTTCCTATACTGGAAAATTGAGACTCACAGACACACGCTGTATTTCTTAGGCCCCAAGTTTCGTTCCCGCTTCCACAGGGCTGCCAAAATAATCTGTCCATAGCACAGATCTGATCCTGTCATTATTCTTAAAAACATTTTAACTATACTTCGTTGGTTACAGGCTAAAAATCGAAACTCTTAGCAGTACACAGTTCCCTTTGTGAGCTAGCATTTTGCTTACCTTTTGCCAGCCTGCCATGCTAATCTGCGACCACGCTGAGCTACCTGCCTTTTCCAAAATGTTTTAAGCTGTCCATTCCTACATGCGTGCTGTTTCTTACCTAGAGTGTCCTTTGCCCGTGGCCCACCAATAGTATTACTTTTATTTTCAGATGCACTTATCACTTGCTCTAGGGAACTCATGTTATCTGCTTTCATAATTCTGTGCATATTTCTTTTATATTATTTGTCATCTTGTTTTGTAATCACCTGTGTATGTCTCTTTCCCCTCTCCAGGAGAAAAATTGATTATATTTGTATTCTGTAACCTGTAGGGCCATTATATAATAGGCACCTGAGAAATATTTGTTGAATAAATGAATGAACTGATAAACCACTACCCTAAAAGCCACTTATTGACTTTACATATTGAGTTCCAAAAATGTATATGTTTTGAATGCTTGATTTCACTGATACTTCTATTACTCTTCTTCTTTTGAGACAGGGTCTCACTCTGTCGCCGAGCGTGGAGTGCAGTGGTGCGATCTTAGCTCTCTATAGCCTCGAACTTCAGGGCTCAAGTGATCCTCCCGCCTCAGCCTTCCAAGTAGCTGGGACTACAGGGATACGCCACCATGCCTGGCTAATCTTTTTATTTTTTGTAGAGATGTGGTCTGGTTATATTGCTCAGGCTTGTGTCAAACTCCTGGGCTCAAGTGATCCTCCTGCCTCAGCATTTCAAAGTGCTGGGATTACAGGCATGAGCCACCATGCCCAGCTCACTGATACATCTGAATGTGGAACCACAAAGTAATATGCGTGCATTTTTATCTTGAAAGTACATCACCAGCTGACTACTCTTCTGGCTTTTGTTTCTTTTTCCTCTGGCCTCCGCTGCAGTGGTCCTTGAGTATACCGTTAGTGATAGGCTAGGCTAGGCTAGGCTAGGCATAGTCCAGATTATGTTTGCTACCATGTATCTTTAGATATTCAAAATGTCTCCTGAATACATAGTTACCTTTACTGCCATTTATACAAAACAGAAGGGAGCTGCCACTCTATGTGACTAGGTATTCCAAAGTCATCCAGGGGTCACTGCAGCTCTTCAGTGTAAACCTTGTTCCTAATTACCAAGTTTCCGTAGCCAGTTTCTTGGTTTCAGTGAGAATGAGATTGTCAGGTTCATTATTCCCACGTAATTTGGTGACTTTTTTTTAATGCTAATTTTGGTATACTTATTAGATATTTTTAGATTCTTTTTTCTATACCAGCCTTATTCTAAAATCAAATTCTGTAGCTCCAGGTTACCACTATGGAATCTTGTATTCCACCCCTTTAAATCCTTTCTGTTGTTTTAACAAACACTTACTGAGCATCACTTACGAACCAACCCCTGTACTAGGCATTGGAGACATAAAATTACTAAGATACAATCCCTGACCATAAGGTGTGTTCAAGAGTTCCAGAATGTCAGGAAACAACAAACTGATGGTGTTTGTTTCTTCTAAAAGAAATGTTCTCAAGTTAAAGCAAGTATTAGAAGTTACCATTAATTCAAATAATGAACAAATAATGAACTTAAGAATTGCCTTAGGGTAACAATGTCTCCAAGCATTCAAGGGCAGATGTCTCTGTCGGTGTCACATTATATGTTAAATATGTTGGCATGTACTGAAAGCAGGTGCTAAATCTTTCAGACTGACTCTTCAACACTAGTACTGTAATATTTTTTTGCATGGTACAGGGAGTAAATGTAAAAGGGATAAGAGGAGAGATGGCTGTAGGCTATAGATTCTGGGGTAGGATTACTTCACAGAAAAGATAAGATTTGAGTTGAGCTGTGAAGTATGGTTGTATAAAGGTATAGAGTATTCCAGCTTAGAGAATCACATAAACTAAGCTGTCCAGGTGAGATTAAGCATAATAAAAGTACCAGTAAGGTGTTCAGCTCCCTATGCAGCTAGTTCATTCCAAGGGTGTCTGAGTAAAATGTTCAACAGAGTGAGATCAGGTTATGGAAGGACTTGAAAGCTAGACAAAAGAATTAAAACATGTAGTAGAAAACATTGCATACTCCTAAGTAGGGGAATAGTATGATTAAAGTGGTATTTTAAGAAAATTGTACTGACAGTGATGTGCATAAGAGATTGAAGTGGGCAGAACTTGAGACTATACTGAGATAGTGACAGTAAGAATAGAGAGAAAGGAAAAAAATCTGAAATCATGGTTAAAAAAAAAAAAAAAAGGTGGCCGAAGGGGACGGGGACAGGGTTAGAAACTACCAGGTTTTGGTTTGAGGCTGCAAAGCATATGGAGGAATTTAAGATTATTATATTTTTTAGACTGAGAGAGTAATAATAGCTTTAATAGGAATAGAAGAGATGAAATGCCTGTTTACATTCAGTAAGAAGAAGAGTATTCGTTTTATTTATTTTCTTTTTTTAATGCATCACAGAAGTAACCCATACTTATAGAAAAAAAAAATCAAAGACTGCAGAAGTATGTGGAGTTAGAAGTCAGTCTCCTGCTTCCACCACAGCCCTCGCCTCTACTGCAGCTTCCACCCCTCGAACTGTTAACCATTGGCTGAATATCCTTCCAGAGGTTTCTGTATGCATTACTACACATGCGTCCAATTCTAGCAATATTTGGATTCTTTTTCATTTTACAGTGTGATTTAATTTCAGACATACTGAGTTTGAAGTGATCAAATTTCAGGATTTCAGTTAAAAAGTCAGGATTTCAGTTAAATCCTTTAGGCTATTGAAAATCAGAAAATGGAATTTTCATAGACATTTTTAAAGATGTAGAGACCTTAAGCTCTGCTAAGAATAGGCATAAGAAAAACTTGCTTTTGTAAAGAAAAAAATCTCTATATCTAACTTTTTATCTCTGTTTTATGTGGTGTTTTCTAATTACATTTGAAAATTTATAGATAAATTATCTTTATGGCTAGGCATGTTGGTGGTGCACTGGTAGTCCCAGCTACTCAGAAGGTGAAGGTAGGAGGATGGCTTGAGCCTGGGAAGGTAAGGTTGCAGTGAGCCATGATTGCCCTTCTGCACTCCAGCCTGGGCAGCAGAGTGAGACCCTGTCTCAAAAAACGAACAAAAACCAAACTTTTATGATCTAAGCCTTCTTTGTAAATATTCTTAGATTTTAAAAATTGATTTAATGGTATAATTCATTCAATAGGTATTTATTGAGTGCCAGCTATGTGCCAGCCACTGTTTAAGATTCTGCAGATGCATCAGGGAACAACAGAGGAAATGTAACCAACATTGACTTTGTCAGCACAGCACACTACTTATTTGATGATTAAAAAAAAAAAAAAGGCCAGGCACATTGGCTCATGCCTGTTATCCCACCACTTTGGGAGGCAGAGGCAGGAGGATTGATTGAGGCCAGGAGTTCAAAACCAGCCTGAGCAACATAGCAAGAACTCATCTCTACAAAATTAAAAAAAAAAAAATTACCCAGGCATGGTGGCATGTGCTTATAGTCCCAGCTACTCAGGAGACTGAGAGGGGAAGATCGCTTGAGCCTAGAAGTTTGAGGCAGCAAGGAGCTGTGATCATACCACTGCACTTCAGCCTGGGCAACAAGCAAGATGCCATCTCTTTTTTTTTTTTTTTTCTGAGATGGAGTCTTGCTCTGTTGCCCAGGCTAGAGTGTAGTGGCACGATCTCGGCTCACTGCAACCTCCGCCTCCTGGGTTTGAGCAGTTCTCCTGCCTCAGTCCCCTGAGTAGCTGGGATTACAGGCCTGCGCCACCACGCCCGGCTAATTTTTGTATTTTTAGTAGAGACGGGGTTTCACCGTGTTGACCAGGTTGGTCTCGAACCCTTGACCTTGTGATCCGCCCACCTCGGCCTCTCAGTGCTGGGATTACAGGCGTGAGCCATCGCGCCCAGCTAAGATGCCATCTCTTAAAAAAAAAAAAAAAGACAAAACACTATTTTATTATTATTATTTTTGGGGCATTTTCTGTGTGTCAGGTGCTGTTCCAGATGCTTTTGATCATCTGTAAACTACTTTGAAATTTGTTCTATAATAGCTAATCATGAATGTGGTTTTTCTGTGGTGTTCTGGCTAGTTGTCTGATTATATTTAAACTTGACTTTAATAATCAGCTTAAACATGATTCTGTGATACTCTTTAAAATCTATTAAATTCTTTCCAATAACTAGGTTAAAATGTTTGATTCTGAGCTGCATATTTACTTACTACTTTTTCTTAATATTTAAAAATATATTCGTGGGATTTCTTCAAATAATTTGATTTGCTTTTCACTTTGTTTCAGATGGCCGAACAGACCCAATTTTGGATGATGTTGGTGAAGCTTTCCAGCTGATGGGGGTTAGTCTACATGAACTAGAAGACTATATTCACAACATTGAGCCTGTCACCTTCCCACACCAAATTCCGTCATTTCCTGTTAGCAAGAACAATGTACTTCAGTTTCCTCAACCTGGAAGTAAAGATGCAGAGGAAAGAAAAGAATACATTCCTGATTACCTGCCACCCATTGTGTCTTCTCAAGAAGGTTTGTGAGTGTTTCTTCTTCATATGTTAGTGATTATTTTAATGGATTTTTAATCCTCTTAGCTTTCCATGCTATGTCAACTTTATAAATTCTGGAAACACAATAGAAACATTTACTGTTACTTACAAATTATTCTAACCCTTAAACCAACAAACTTGCAACTGACATTACCAAGCCGAGTCACGGTGTAATCAAGGTCATGTCTGAAGCATTTATCTCCTTTGTAAAGTTCAAGTAGAGGAAAACAGTGAAGCCAAAGAGAAGCCTTTCAACAGCCCTATTATATGAGAATGGGATATTAGGTAAATTAGAAAACATTTGAAACAAAAAGAAAAATTGGGGTAGCTCTTTTCCTCCTCGCTTATTATTCAGGCCATGAGTTGAATGCCATGGCTTTATACTGGAAACAGTGAGTGAATCGTGAGTATTCAGTGACATTGTGTAGACTTCTGTTTTTTATCATGAGGAGCAATGTTTATTGTTTGATCATATAGAACTTTTGATTATAAAATGATAGCTAATCAGGTATAATGGTCAGTCCAATTGCAGAGTTCCCTTTTTTCCTGCATAATTTTAGATGTTGATCACTAAGTTCACTAAGATTCTAAGGAGATATTTAAGTAATTTCTGGTCTCTAACACAAGTACACGATATTTTTTCTTATAAGAGTTGGAAAAGTTGCAATAAGTTCTTTCATTTTGTAAAAAATTCTAAAACCTGTATACTTCAGGACAATGCAAATGATGCCAGCAATTACTTTTACTTATGATTTTCTATTGTAAAATATACATAACATAAATGGACCATTGTAAAGGTGTGCAGTTCTGTGGCATTAAGTATACATTGTTATTCAGCCATCATCCCCATCCTTCTCCAGAACTTTTGTTCCCTCCCAAATTGAAACACTGTTCCCATTAAACATAACTCCCCATTCTCCACCACTTCCAGCCCCTGGCAACCACCATTCCTTTTTTTGTCTCTCTGAATTTGTCTATTCTAGGTACCTTTTATAAATGGACTTGGACATTATTTGTCTTTTTATGACTGGCTTACTTCACTTAGTATGATGTCTTCAGGGTTCATTCATGTTGTAGCCTGTGTCGGGATTTCGTTGTGTGTTTCGTTGTGTGTTTAAGGCAGAATAATATATGTACATTCCACATTTGTTTATCCATTCACTCACTGATGGACATTTGGGTTGTTTCAACCTTTTGGCTCTTGTGATTAATGCCGCTATGAACATCGATGTGCAAATCTCTGTTCAAATTCTTGCTTTCAGGTGTTTTTTTTTGGGTCTGTACCTTGAAGTAGAATTGCTGGATCATATAGTAATTGTCTATTTAATTTTTGAGGAAGCACCACACTGTTTTCCACAGTGGCTGTACCATCTAAGCTTCCTATCAGCAGTGCCCAAGGGTTCCAATTTCTTGCAATTCATTTCTTAGAATCGGTTCTACTTTAATAGCATTTTGAAGTGTTACCTATTTGTCTCAGGAAGTATGTTTAAATTTGGCATAAGTTGTTGTACAGTCTGTGTGTCAGGGTTGCCTCATCTGAAAAACTGGACAGCTACTGGACCTAAGTGGTAGGGATTTGTTGTGAATTGGTGGCTCATCATTTAGGTGCTCTGGATCTTAGCTGCAGTGGGTTCTACTGAATGATACTAACACACCGACAGCCCAGAACCAAAACTAGGACTTTGATCATAATCTACACTTAACTATTTGGTCCTTCTTGTCTTATTTTTATAGCATGCAAATATTCCATAATAAAATTCTCTTAAAGTGCTATGGTTATCATATTTAAATACTAGCAAGGAAATGTAACTAAGATAACAGGTTTAGATTAGGTAGTGAAGAAGTATGAAAAACAATTTAGTGTTTTTTTTGTTTTGTTTTGTGTTGTTTTGATACTGACTTCTGGCTGAAATTACTATATTACTATAGATTTTTGGGTTTCTTTTCTGGGTTATTTGAAGCAAAAAAAGAAACTCATTTAGTTTTATGCAAACAATATAAATTATAAACATTTTAAAAGGAAAATAACAAATCTTGAGAACACTACTTTTCACTTTTTATCTAACACATGTGGATTAAGAAGGAAAAATATTGCTGATTTGTAATATATGCATATGGTTTATAAGGATGCAGTAAGTGGTAGGCAGTACAGTAAGATGCTTGTCAAAACGTTCTCCTCTTCATAAGAAAAGGATATAAAATGCAATTCTTTGGTTACCATTTAAAAATATAACCATACAAGACCATTTCTTGTCATTTACAATCTGAAATATTTTTTTTTCATGGGTACAGCATGTTAGAAAGTTCCTGGTATTCTGATTAGTGGTGCAAAGTGAGGTACAGAGGTGAACCCCTTTGATAATGATGCTGTTCACCATGCTCTTTATTTTCCTTTTATTTCCTTAAGAGCCACAGACAGGCCAGACTTTGGTCTTAAAATATTATTAGCAAGGTCCTTCCATGGGGTTCCCTCTTATCAGCCACTCAGCTTGGTTCATGTCAAAAAAGCCTGTGAAAGTCTCCCTCCACAGCAGCTGGAGCTGGCGAGTGTGCACACATAGAAGGCCTGAAGGGGCAGCAGGCTGTGAGAGGCACAGCGTGGACCTCACGGCATCACTGAGACATGACTCAGCGAGTCACTGAGTTTCTGGTCTTCCCAAGTCACTTTACCTTTCTGAACTTTATATTCATCTGTAAAATAAGTGTAATAACACCTACCACATTGGGGAAATGGAGAATCAAGTAATTTTTTTTTGTTAACACATTTATATAAAATTGGACAGTGTTTAACATATAAAATACATAACAGTGGGCCAGGTGTGATGGCTTATGCACTTTGGGAGGCTGAAGCTTGAGCCCAGGAGTTTGATACCAGCCTGGGCAACGTCATGAGACCTCATCTCTACTAAAAATAAAAAACTTGGCTGGGCGCAGTGGCTCACGCCTGTAATCCCAGCACTTTGGGAGGCGGAGACGGGCGGATCACGAGGTCAGGAGATCGAGACCATCCTGGCTAACACAGTGAAACCCCGTCTCTACTAAAGATACAAATATTAGCTGGGCGTGGTGGCGGGTGCCTGTAGTCCCAGCTACTCGGGAGGCTGAGGCAGGAGAATGGCGTGAACAGAGGAGGTGGAGCTTGCAGTGAGCCGAGATTGTGCCACTGTACTCCAGCCTGGGTGACGGAGCGAGACTCTGTCTCAAAAAAAAAAAAAAAAACAAAAACAAAAACTTAGCTGGGCATGGTGGTGCACGCTTGTAGTCCCAGCTATCAGAGTCTGTGGTGGGAGGATCAGTTGAGCCCAGGGGTCAAGGCTGCAGTGAGCTATGATCACACCACAGCACTCCAGCCTGAGTGACAGCGAGACCCTGTCTCAAAAAAAAATAAAACACATGACAGCGAATATTAGTTCTCGTCCCCTTTTTCTTTTCTTGCTCTTAAATAATTTACTTTTGAATTGAAATACAATATACATTAGTGAAGTCACGCTATAAGGGGAATCGGTGTCAAGCTGCATTCAGTGGCACACCCATAGTCCTAGCTACTTGGAAGGCCAAGGCAGGAAGATCGCTTGAGCCCAGGAGTTTGAGGCTGTAGTGCGCAATGATTGAGCCTGTGAATGCCCACTGCACTTCAGCCTGGGCAACATAGCAGGACCCTGTCTCTGAAAAAAAGAGACGAATCAATGTAAAGTAGTGTTACCATCACGTGCTGAGGATCTGAGGGAACAGACTTACTAGCTGGGCTGGATAGGTACTTGACTGAGGAGCTGTGTGATTATCCGCAGTGTGAAGATGACAGATGAGGAGATGATGTGGAAGGAGTTATTGCCTGCTTTATCTGATTATATGTTTAGAAGTGAGACCTCTTTGAAAATATTTTATACATGCATATTTTTGCTTGGACTGTTACAGTTCTGATGGCTGGTACCCAGTGTGTTTTATCCAAGAACATTCTCTCCCCAGCTTGCCATACATATTTTCAGATTCACACCAATACCATATTTTTTTGCTTCCTATTTTATTGTGCTGAGGAATGTCTGAAAATAGTACAGCGTACTATGCCAAAGTCATTGTTGGTTCTCACAGTGTGGTCTCTAGATCACTGGTCAATGGGGGTCTTCTGGGGGGGTCTGTTGATTGGTTCAAAATATTTGCATAAGAAAGAAATATAGGCTGGGCGCAGTGGCTCACACCTGTAATCCCAGCACTTTGGGAGGCCGAGGTGGGCGGATCACTTGAGGTCAGGAGTTCAAGACGAGCCTGGCCAACATGGTGAAACCCTGCCTCTACTGAAAATACAAAAATTAGCTGGGTGTGGTGGTGCCTGTAGTCCCAGCTACTCGGGAGGCTGAGATGGGAGAATCACTTGAATCCGGGAGGCAGAGGTTGCAGTCAGCCGAGATCGTGCCACTGCACTCCAGCCTGGGTGACAGAGTGAGACTCCGTCTCAAAAAAAAAAAAAAAAAAAAAAAAAAAAGGAATATAAACCATGTACCCTGACTTATTGCAGGAAACTTACCAAGCTCAACTTAAACTTGGTAAAGATACTGTGAGGTTGCCACTTTTAGAGTTTCTATTTTTTAAAATTTAAAATAGACTATTTTTTAGAACAGTTTTGATTTACAGAAAAAATTGAGAAGTTAGTTTGGAGAGTTCACTCACATCTGAACCATTTCTTCTGTTATTAACCTTTTACGTGACTATGGTACGTGTATCACAATTAATGAACAATATTGACATGTTATTATTAAGTGACGCCCGCACTGTATTGACATTCCTTAGTTTTTACTGGATGTCCTTTTTCTGTTTCTGGATCCCATCCAGGATATCATATTGTGTTTGGTTGTCACGTCTCCTTAGACTTTTCTTGGCTGTGACAGTTTTTCAGACTTTTCTTGTTTTTGACGACCTTGACAGTTTTGAGGATTATTGGTTAGGTATATTGTCGGATGCCCCTCTAGTGGAATTTTTCTGATGTTTTCCTCATGATTAGACTGGGGTTATGAGATCTTGGGGAGAAAGACCACAGAGGTCAAGGGCCATTTTTATGACATCATATCAAAGGTCTATCCTGTCATCATAATTTATCACTGTTGATATTGATGGTGATCACATGGCTGGGGTAGTGTTTATCTGGTTTCTTCACAGTAAAGTTTCTCTTCTATCCCCTCTTCCCCTACTGTGCTCTTTGGAAAGAAGTCACTGTGCGTAGCCCGCCCTTAAGGAATGGGAGTTATGCGTCCCGCTTTGAAGGTGGAATATCTGCATATGTTGTTAGGAACTCTTCTGCATGGGGATTTCTCTCTTTCCCCACTAAGATTTCTATTTTTATTATTAAACCCTTTAAAAGTAAACATTTACATGTTTGAAAAAATTAACAAAAGTAATACAAACTTGCTGAAAAAATATATTGCCAAGTGAATTCGTTATGAAATGGAAGTGTCTCTTCACTTCCCTTCCTCCCCCTTCCCAAGAATAACCTAGTTGGCAGATGGGGCTCCTCTGCATCTTCCCGTGTGACCTTTTGCACTCCTTGGACTCAAGAATCTATGTCCACTTCAGTACCTGCCATTTCTTTCTCAAGCTCCTGCCATCCTTTTCTTGAAGCAGTTCTTGCTGTGAACACCAATTACTATCTAAATGGTTGATCTGAAGGAAATTTAAACCCTTTCTCCCAGTTCAAGAAACAGAACTTTACCAGCTATCTCAGAATAGCTTCTATGTGCCCAACCCCACCCCACCCCTTCCTCCCTCCCTCCAAAAATAACCAACCACTGTCCTGACTTTGTAGGAATTACTCCTTAGCTTTATAGTTTTATCAGCCAAATGCGTATCCCTAGACACATTAATTTAATGTTCTTCACACATGCACACCTTTTTCACTTTACATGTCTTTTTTTTTTTTTTTTTTTTTTTTTTTTGAGAAGGAGTCTTGCTCTGTCACCCAGGCTGGAGTGCAGTGGCGCAATCTCGGCTCACTGCAAACTCCACCTCCTGGGTTCAAGCGATTCTCCTGCCTCAGCCTCCCGAGTAGCTGCAATTACAGGTGCATGCCACTGTGGCTGGCTAATTTTTGTATTTTTAGTAGAGACGGGGTTTCACCATGTTGGCCAGGCTGGTCTGGAACTCCTGACCTCAAGTGATCCGCCAGCCTCGGCCTCCCAAAGTGCTGGGATTCCAGGCGTGAGCCACCCCGCCCAACCATGTCATTTACCTTTTAGTTTGTGACTCTCCTTCCATTCCTTTCTTTGTCTTACAGTTTATTTGTTAGAAATCTGGGTTGTTTGATCTGCAGAGTGCCCCACAGTTGGATGTTGCGCATTGTGCACTCATAATGCAGCTCAATGTGTTTCTCAAAATTGGCAGCAAGAATCTGAGGCTTGACCAGATTTAGGTTTGGCAAGATATCAGCTGATGATGTCCAGTTTTCACTTTTGTTGGTGTTAGCAGTGCTGATGCTCAGTGCCTAGATCCATTAATTCATTAGGGGTTACAAAGTAATGATAATACTATCACTTTGTTTTTATTTCATTCTTTAGTTGAAATAACTTTATAAGAAAATCCTTTTCCTCATCCACTATTTAGTAACTTAATGGCATAGTTTATATAGGGAAAGCAGGGTTAACGCTTGATTTTTTTCATATGGTATATTCCCAGTTTTCATGAGAATAAATTGGTTCCTTGTTATCCTTAGCAGGTGACTAGTTTCATTTAATACTCTATCATTGTGAACTCACAGATTTAAACATACTTGACGGATTTCATTCATTACTTTTTTTTTTTGAGATGGAGTCTCACTCCATCGCCGAGGCTGGAGTGCAGTGGCTCAATCTTGGCTCACTGCAACCTCTGCCTCCCAGGTTCAAGGGATTCTCCTGCCTCAGCCTCTCCAGTAGCTGGGATTACAGGCATGTGCCACCACGCCCGGCTAATTTTTGTATTTTTAGTAGAGGCGAGGTTTCACCATGTTGGCCAGGCTGGTCTTGATCTCCTGATCTTGTGATCCTCCTGCCTCGGCCTCCCAAAGTGCTGGGATTACAGGAGTGAGCTACCGTGCCCGGCCTCATTACAGTTTTTTACCCATATTGTAGCTTTAATTGTTGCATCTTTGGCCAGTGGCAGCTTCTTCACTCTTGCTTCTGAGTCCTTTTGACACATGACCCGAATTGGCTTTGGTGACGTCCTCACCTTCTGGTATATCAAAATGTTCTAGACTCAGCATGTATAGTCATGTTCTATGCTTGGTATAAATTATCTGTCCAGGAAACCCTGGTTTCTTGGAAAGTAGTATTTCTTTTCTTTTTTTAATTTTAATTTTTTTTAATTATAAAATTTCAGGTTACATTTGTATATATCTGGGGGGTGCAAAGCGATGTTATGTTTTATAAATACAATGTGGAATAATTAAGTCAAGCTAGTTAACATACCTGTCACCTCAAATGCCTATCGTTTTTTGTGGAGAGAACATTTAAAACTTACTCTCTTAATGATTTTCAAATGTGTA
This sequence comes from Homo sapiens, assembly GCF_000001405.40. Taxonomy (NCBI): domain Eukaryota; kingdom Metazoa; phylum Chordata; class Mammalia; order Primates; family Hominidae; genus Homo; species Homo sapiens. The sequence continues at coordinate 7,832,085 of NC_000010.11, forward strand.
ATACATTATTATTTTTCTTTTTCACCATGCTGTGCAATGTATCAAAAAAAGTACTCCTCCTGTCAGATTGAGGCTTTGTACCCTTTGCCTATCATCTCTGTATCCCCACATCCCCACATCCCCTGCCCCAGCCTCTGTAACCACTGTTCTACTCTCTGCTTCTTGGAATTTGGTTCTTTTCGTCCACATATAAGTGAGAACATGTGGTATGTCTCCTTCTGTGCCTGGCTTACTTCACTTAGCAGAATTGTTTGAATTCCATCTATGTTGTCACAAATGACAAAATTTCCTTCTTTTTTTAAAGGCTGAATAATAATACTTTTTAATTTTTATGGGTACACAGTAAGTATAAATATTTATGGAGTACATAAGAATTTTAATAAAAGCACACCACAATGTGTAGTAATTACATCAGACTAAATTGGATATTTACCACCTGAAGCATTTATCATTTCTTTCTTATTTATTTATTTATTTTTGAGACAGTCTCGCACTGTCACCCAGGCTGGAGTGCAGTGGTGTGATCTCAGCTCACTGCAAGCTCCATCTCCTAGGTTCAAGTTTAAGTGATTCTTGTGCCCCACCCTCCCCAGTAGTTGGGATTACAGGTGCCCACCACCACACCCGGCTAATTTTTGTGTTTTTAGTAGAGATGCGATTTCACCATGTTGGCCAGGCTGGTCTGAAACCCCTGGCCTCAAGTGATCTGCCCACCTCAGCCTCCCAAAGTGCTGGGATTACAGGCATGAGCCACTGCACCTGGCCCAGCATTTATCATTTCTTTGTGCTACAGATATTCCAGTTATACTCTTTTAGTTATTTTTAAATGTACAGGGTGCAGTAGCTCACACTTGTAATCTTGTCACTTTGGGAGTCTGAGGCAGGAGGATGATTTGAGGCCAGGAGTTCGAGATAAAATGTTCAATAAATTATTGTTGACTTTAGTCACCCTGTGGTGCTATTAAAGGCTGAATAGTATTCTGTGGTGTATATATATTACATTTTCTTTATCCACTCATCTGTTAATGGACACTTAGGTTATTTCTGTAACTTGGCTATTGGGAACAGTGCTGCAGTGAACTTGGGAGAGCAGAATCTCTTCCACATAATCTTTTCAAATCTTTTGGGTAAATACTCAGGAGTGGGGTTGCTGGATTATATGGTAATTCTATTTTGAGTTTTTGGAGGAAACTCCACATAGTTTTCCATGACTACTAATCTAAATTCCCACCAACAGTGTACAAGGATTCCCCCTTTTCTCCACATCCCTGCTAACACTTGTTACCTTTCATCTTTTTTATAGCAGCCATTCTAACAGGTGTGAGGTAATATCTCACTGTGGTTTTATTTCTGTAATGATTAGTAATGTTGAACATTTTTTCATGTATTTGTTGGCAGTTTGTATGTCTTATTTTGAGGAATGTCTATTCATTTTTTATTGGATTATTTCTTTCTGTAGGGTTTTCTTTTTTCCTTTTTTGGGGACCCAGCAATACTGCTGATTTATTACAAGTCCCCAAGAGGGCTTCAGTTTTTCTTTTCAACATCCTGTTCTGTAGCTTCCATGTCTCTTTTTGTCCATATGTGGAGGAGCCAGGCATTGGCACGGGCCATGCAGCAACTAGCAAAGGCTCTGAAATTCTTCTCCTCAGTGGTGACTTGAGCTTTCTCCTTCTCATAGACATTCTGGATGGGCATGACTGGTCCTGTCAGCTGGGTGGCCAATTGCAGTTCTTCAGCAGAACTGTCTCCCTTCCTGGGGACCGAGGGCTTCCTGGGGAAGAGGATGAGTTTGGAGCGGTACCCCTTCAGCCGCTGCACAGTGCGTGTGGAAGTGGGGCTTCAAGATCTTGCCATTCCCGCTGGGCACCATGGCTGCCTGCTGTCCTCCGGCACAGGACAACAGCCAGACTGTTCTTTCTATAGAGTTGTTTGGGTTCCTTATATATTTTGCCTTTTTTTTTGGTGGTGGTTGTGGCTCTTGTTGTTGTTGAGTTGCTTACATGTTTTGGGCGTGAGCCCCTTGTCAGATGTGTGGGTGCACGTGTTTTCCTCCTCACCCACAGGTTGTGCCTTCACTCTGCTGTTTCCTTTATTGTGCCAAAGCTTTTTATTTTGATGGAATCCCATTTGTTCAGTTTTGCTTTTGTCACCCTGCGCTTTTGGGGCCAAATATAAAAAATAATTGCCCAGACCAGTGTCTTACAGTTTTTCCCCTATGTTTTCTTTTAGCAGTTTTGTAGTTTCAAGTCTTACATTTAGGTCTTTATTCCATTTTGAGTTGATTTTTCTAAGTGGTATGAGATAAGGATCCAATTTCATTCTTCTGCATATGGATATCCAGTTGTCTCCACGCTGGGAAATAGCATTTCAAGTACACAGTCTCGGTGCTAAGGGATACTTATTATATATAACTCGGTTGTTCATTGTTTCTAGGCAATAAGTAAATAAATATTTATATACATGTAGATGTGTGTGAATAGATAGATAGGTGGATAGGGTTCCTCCTGAGTTCATGCAGATTTTCCAATTCATATTTAGGACTACAAGGTTTTTATTTTTTATGTTACATCCATAAATACTGTCATCCATACTGAGAATTCTGGTTCTCAGGAATAAAGAAGATGATAAAATTAGAATATTCCATAATTATTCATTTGCTTTATCCCAGATTACACGTACAATATTGCAACTGATACTATCATTCATGATTACTGAAACAGGTAAAAAAAATTTTTTTTGCTCATTCTGTCCTATGAAACCAATTTTCTTTCATTTTACCGTGTGTATCTTGTCAGATCATATAGCTACTGTCTTGAGTTCTGCTACCTAATTTCTGAGTTTTTTCTGATTTTGATTTATATACTTTCATGTCTTTTAGATCATTTCAAGATAGAACATTATAGGTTCATCAGTTTTTTCGAGTGTGTGTTTCTCTCGTACTTTCATTGTCTGGAGGGATGTTTTGCTATTTAGTCTTCTCTTCTTTATAGAAACTATATGTGAGTTAGTTTTCTGAGCCTTTAGAACACAGGTGTCCAATCTTTTGGCTTCCCTGGGTCACACTGGAAGAAGAAGGATTGTCTTTGGCCACACATAAAATACACTAACACCATCGATAGCTGCTGAGCTAGAAAAAAAAGTCACACACAAAAAAGTCATAATGTTTTAAGAAAGTTTACAACTTTGTGTTGGGCTGCATTCAAAGCCGTCCTGGGCCGCATATGGCCCATGGGCTGTGGGTTGACAAGCTTGCTTTAGAAGGAGATTCAGGGTAGCTCCTCTGACTTTGCAGTGCTCCCTCTTCTATCGTTTTTGCGGAATGTTCCAAATATGGGAACTTGCTCACTGAGATTTTTTGTTTGTTTTCCTCCACCACTTTTACCTGGATCTTCTCTTCCCTTCATGTCAGTTTTCCTTTTTCTGGCCAGCTGTGATTCCACTGCCAGCTGTGTCCTCTCAGCGAGGCTCTGTCCTGGCAGAGAGCAGCCAGGGTCAAGTCTGAGAGCTCCTGGGCTCAACTTCTAGCCCCATTGGATCTCACTCAGCCCCTTGTACTCCCTGTACTGGAAGTGGTCCCATCCTTCCCAGCCTCAGCCGCTCTTCTCGGGTTGGCCTGCCGGGCTTTCCAGCAGAGGCCTGGTGGCCCTTTTGGGGTTTTCCTGTTTCAGGTCAGTCTTCCCGTTGCTTCTCACTGTTTCCCTTGCATAGATGCCTCATACTCGGGTCTCATGGCGCTTGGTGGCATGTTGTCACCTGCATGTATTTTGGCACTGATGGGTGTACTCTGTCACCTGGTTATGTTGGGAAGATGCACAAACTACCTTGCCCCAGCTACCACTTTCTTCCCAGGATTCCCCTTATTGAAGCTTTTTGCTGCTTTCATCACTGTTGGGCAATTCCTGAAGCTGCTTTTCTTCAGCGCCATCATACTCCCTTAACTCTCCTTATATGATGAGCTCCATCTTGGGGCCTTTCTTGGGCACGTCTTCCCTGGCTCTCCTACTGCTAAAACATTGGTGCTTCTAAAATTTTATCCTTCACCTACTATGTTTCTCACGTTACTTAGTTTCAGAGTTGACTTTCCTACTCTCATAGTTTGAACCCCCATCTGTATGCTGATGCCTCCCCAAACTGTCCCTCTACATCCACCTCTCAGACCCTGCAACCAGTTGCAGTTGGCCATTTCCACGTTTTCTTTTTTCTTTCTTTTTTTTTTTTTTGAGACGGAGTTTCGCTCTTGTTGCCCAGGCTGGAGTACAATGGCACAACCTCCGGCTCCCTGGTTCAAGTGATTCTCCTGTCTCAGCCTCCCGAGTACCTGGGATTAGAGGCATGAGCTACCAAGCCCAGCTAATTTTGTATTTTCAGTAGAGACGGGGTTTCTCCATGTTGGTCAAACTGGTCTTGAACTCCCGACCTTGGGTGATCTGCCCACCTTGGCCTCCCAAAGTGCTGGGATTACAGGCGTGAGCCACTGCACCCGGCCCATTTCCACATTTTCTTACCACGAATACACCTGTGTTATCCATCTCAGTTGGTGGCACCATCTCTACTCAGTCACCTAAGCTAGAAACATGAGAATTAGCATTGACCTCTTCTCTCATTCTCCTTCATTCCCTATCTCTAATTCTGCTAATTTTCTTTCTTAAAAAATTTCCAAAATATTATTGCATCACTTCCTTTGTTTAAACCTTTATCTCTTGTCTGAACTGTCCTTATCCTCTAAACGAAACTATTAGACAAAAAATTAACACATCCCACATTATAAAACACTTTGTTGGCTCTCCAACTGCTTACAGTTACCAAAAATACCTATGGAGAGGAGTTTTCTTTTTTGCATCAAAATGAAAAGAGCTTTGGTTGAGTGTGATGGCTCATGCCTATAATCCCAGCACTTGGGAGGCCAAGGCAGGAGGATCGTTTGAGCCCAGGAATTTGAGACCAGCCTGGACAACATAGTGAGACCTTGTTTCTATAAAAAATTTAAAAATCTGGCCAGGCGTGGTGGCTCACACCTGTGATCCCAGCACTTTGGGAGGCCAAGGTGGGCAAATTGCTTGAAGTCAGGAGTTCAAGACCAGCCTGGCCAACAGGGTGAAATCCTGTCTCTACTAAAAATACAAAATTTAGCTGGACATGGTGGCATGGGCCTGTAGTCCCAGCTACTCGGGAGGCTGAGGCAGGAGAATTGCTTGAACCAGGGAGGTGGAGGTTGCAGTGAGCCGAGATTGCACCACTGTGCTCCAGTCTGGGCAAAAAAAAAAAAAAAAGTCAGCTGGGTGTGGTGGCTCATGCCTGTAATTTCAGCACTTTGAGAGGTTGAGGCGGGCTGATCACTTGAGGCCAGGAGTTCAAGACCAGCTTGGCCAGCATGGCGAAACCTCGTCTCTACTAAAAATACAAAAATTAGCTGGGCGTGGTGGTGCGTGCCTGTAATCTCATCTACTCGGGTGGCTGAGGCACAAGATTTGCTTGAACCTGGGAGGCAGAGGTTGCAGTGATCTGAGATTGCACCAGTGTACTCCAGCCTGGGCAAAAGAGCAAGACTCTGTCTCAGAAAAAATAAAAAATAAAACAATTAGCCAAGAGTGGTGATGTAAGCCTGAGAGGCTGAGGTGGTGTAAGTACTCAGAGGCTGAGGTAGGGGGATCACTTGAGTCTGGGAGGTTGAGGCTGAGGCTGCAGTGAGCCACTGCACTCCAGCCTGGGTGACAGAGTGGGACCCTGTCTCAAAAAAATAAAAAGGGAATAGCTGTAGTTATTCAAGAGAAAAGATGTTTATTCTTACAACGTAGATTACTTACTGATTTAATAGAGGAATGTTAATGAAGATATTTGCATGGCTTTCAGTTGCTAAAATAATGTTTGTGTATGTAAAAGCAGCCATCAAATAATTTATCCTTGATATCACATAATATATTCATAAACATTATCTCATTTAATCTTGAAACAGGTCCTAAAGGCAGATGCTGCTATCATTCCCATTTATGGAAGGAGAAATGGAAGTTTAAAAATCATAATTGAATTAACCTGCCTCGTGTTGCATTGGGAATTGGGAGCAAAGCTGGATTAGGGTTTAGTTGACTCCGTTCAGTGCTGTGTGTATGGGTACCTGCCATGAGTCGGATCCTACACAAGGAACTGGTGTTGAATATAGAGAGATGAGTGAGATATTCCTCTCTCCCCATTTTGGCCTTTCTGCTGTTGTTTGGAAGTCCCTGCTTGGCCAGGACTGTCCTAAGCAGAAGAGTACCTTTACCAAGCCAGTTTTGTTTTTTTTTGTTGTTGTTGTTTGTTTGTTTGTTTGTTTTTGAGACAGAGTCTCACTCTGTTGCCCAGGCCAGAGTGCAGTGGCCTGATCTCGACTCACTGCAACCTCTGCCTCCCGGGTTTGAGCGATTCTCCTGCCTTAGCCTTCCAAGTAGCTGAAATTACAGGTGTGCACCACCACGCCTGGCTAATTTTTGTAATTTTTGTAGAGGTGGGATTTCACCATGTTGGCCAGGCTGGTCTCAAACTCCTGACCTCAGGTGATCCACCCACCTAGGCCTCTCAAAGTGTTGGGATTATGGGCGTGAGCCACTGTGCCTGGCCAAGCTGGTTTTCTTAATGGGCAGGCAGGCTTCTTGAATACCTTCTGGCCCCCTAACATCCGACGCTATAAGCCTCCTCCACACCCAGCCTCCTAGTTAAGGATCTGGCTGCCTCTCTCTTGGCCCTCTCAGATACCTTCCTGTTCATTACCTTGTTAGGCTGGAGTTCCAGGGTCTGGGGAACGTTCCTTCTGTGTATCTAGGGAAGTTGTCTGGAGGCATTGCTTGTTTTTTTTTTTTTTTGGTTTGTTTGTTTTGTTTTGTTTTTAAATCCAGCAGCATCTGAGCCAGATAATTGCAGCTGAAATCGTACCAAGGGCTGATGTTGGGATATGCCTGTGGTGTTCAGTACACGTGTCTTAGCATAAACCTACAGGGCCCTGTGTGATCGGACTCCTGCCCACTTGACATGTTAGTTACTTGCCCCTCGTTGCTTCGTGCTTTACCTTCCAGAATCATTAAACTGCTGATGTTTCCCAAAAATAACTATGTACCTGGGTCAGCTCATGCTGGCATGGAGTTCTCGTCCATCACCATGCCCACCCTGGCTTCTTTGAGCGCCCGTATAATATATATCTCTACCATCATACTTCATATATTTTGTTATAATTGCTGGTTTTATTTGCCTCTGTAACTTACCCAGGTCTTGCTTTCTCTTTAAGTCCTACACTCATTCTCCATTTCACCATTTTTTTGGCAGAAAACCTATGGTCCTGCTACTCTATGAGAGTTGAATTCAAGACATGGAGAAACTTACTGACTCCTGTTCTTAGGGAAAGTTTTTCAGAATAATGGAGGAGCAGTCGCAAAAATTAGCTTGTCCAAAGTCACATGGCTGCGAAGTGATAGAGGTGACAGTGGGATCCCAGGTTTCATAGTCTTGGCCCCATCTTCTGTGTATCATTCATGGCCCTGGCATTATTCTCAAGGGCACAGATAGAAGAACAAAGGCTTGTATTGTGGCTCTTCGTTTGTTTCTTTTCCTTTCAAATTGGTTTCTTGAGTACAATTATTTTTTTTTTAATTGTGTTTTGTTAACATCTTATTCTTCTATTCAGGTTACTTTTTCTGCTTATTCTTGTTATCCTCAGGAATGATTTTTTACTGACAGCATAAAGATTGAAGTAGATCTTTTAGAAATCTCTGTGTCTCTTGCTTTACATTCAGGCCAGCAAGATTTAGCGCCTCAGCGGAGGTGTATACATGTCAGCAGTCAGCATGGAGAGTAGAAGTCCCAGCATACACAGATTGAGAGGGACTTTACAAATTTAAATGGACTTTGCCAAAATTCTCTGCCTTTCAAAAAGGTTTTTCCTTTAATTTATCTGGATTTATAAAAACAGAAGCACATTTCCAATGCTATAGTAAGAGATTTTTGGATGGGGGAGTATTTAAGGGATTGAAAAATTTTTTTTTTAAGTTTTAATGTTTCTAAATTAACAAAGTAATTCTATGAAGTATCTTAGGAAAATGAGTGTTTTTTTTTTTTCGAGACGGAGTCTCACACTGTCACCCGGGCTGGAGTGCAGTGGCGCCATCTCGGCTCACTGCAAACTCCACCTCATGGGTTCACGCCATTCTCCTGCCTCAGCCTCCTGAATAGCTCTGACTACAGGCGCCCGCCACCACGCCTGGCTAATTGTTTGTATTTTTGGTAGAGATGGGGTTTCACCGTGTTAGCCAGGATGGTCTCGATCTCCTGACCTTGTGATCCGCCCGCCTCGGCCTCCCAAAGTGCTGGGATTACAAGCATGAGCCACCGCGCCCGGCCTGGAAAATGAGTGTTTTGATATTTACTATAAACACCAAATTTGTCTACTTCTCTCTTCTAGGCATCCAGAATGAAAAAAAAAAAAAAGATTGGTTTTTTTTCTAAATTTAGAATTTGCCAGAAATTTAACATTTCTTTATCTGTGCTTACGGTTTTTGGAAATTTTCCCACGTGTGTGAGGGGAAGACGGGAATATCAAGGAGGAGCAGGCAATACATGCTTGTGGCTGGCTCAGTGTAAGACCCCAAAGTTAGTACTTTTGCTGTAAGTTAGGACTTACTTTGTCTTGCTTTCTTGAATTTGAATCTGAAATTGAACAGTGTACTCATTGCCTTTTATTTAGCTAATGACTGCTTACAGCCACATAGAACTTTGCTATTTCATGTTTTCTTTTCTTTCTTTCTTTTTTTTTTTTGAGATGGAGTTTTGCTCTTGTTGCCCAGGCTGGCGTGCAATGGCGTGATCTCGGCTCACTGCAACCTCCACCTCCCAGGTTCAAGCTATTCTCCTGCCTCAGCCTCCCAAGTAGCTGGGATTACAGGCACACGCTGCCACACCTGGCTAATTTTTGGTATTTTTAGTAGAGAGGGGGTTTCACCATGTTGGCCAGGCTGGTCTGGAACTCCTGACCTCAGGTGATCCGCCCACCTCGGCCTACCAAAGTGCTGGGATTACAGGCGTGAGCTGCCGCGCCCGGCCTAGAGCTTTCCTATTTCAGATAAAATAATAGCAAGTTATTTGCTTCTTTTACGGTGGTTATATACTGATGGTGTGCCATTGGTGCCAAAAGTAAATTCAAAATAATTGTTTCCTTCCTTCATTCGTCAAGGAGCTGTGGAGAGCCTGCTGTCTGCAGGCTCACTGCTTATTTCTGAAAAGAGAGGTAAAGAAATAGAGGTCCTTCCCTGCTTTCCTAGAGCTTACAGTCTACTTGGGGAAAGAAGGGCTGGACTCATGTTTATATACTATTTAAAATTATAATTTGGGATTCTTAAAGGAAAACAGAGTGCTCCAGTACTATAAACATCAGAGGTCTCTAACCTAGTGTGCTTACAGGAATAAGGGAATCAATGGATATTTTTTAAGTAGGGGGTTAGGATGATTTCATTATAAATTCTGTTGGTACTGAGAAGGATGGACTCAAGAGGAGATGTCACTGGAAGAGTCTTGATAAAGCTTGTGGTAGTCACCCAAGGGACATGATAGGAAGGACCAAATTTGGGAGATATTGGATGGTCAGGATTTGGAGATAGATAAATTGTAGAGGATGTGCTACAGAGAGGAGCCTAGGTTTCAAGCTTGGGAGATTGGCTAGGTAATCAGATATCTAAATATCCAGATCTTAAACAGACTGGCCAGATCTGGAGTGAGAATTTAGAATGGACCTTATAGTCTGCAGGCAATCCTCTAACAAAACTTTTTATTTATTTTTTTTAAATAATCAGGTAGAGCTCAGGATTGTAAAACATGACACGAACCTCGTACCCAGGGCAGACTTGGTTGCTTATGTTAAGGGCAGCAGGTACACTTGCTTTAAATCAGGTGGATGGTGGGCTTTTACCAAATGACTGCCTATGTTGGCCAGGCACCACGCCCGATGTGGGAGGCAGAGGCCCTCCTATCGTTCATTGAGTTGCGTGAGTACCCTATTTAATTAAAGATGGCCCTGTTTGTCATTGTAGGATATTGAATTAATATTGTTTTTTTTTTTTGTTTTTTTTTTTGTTTTTTTTTTTTTTTGAGACAGAGTCTTCCTCTGTCACCCAGGCTGAAGTGCTGTGGCACGATCGTAGTTCACTCCAACCTCTGCCTCCCGGGCTCAAGCAGTCCTACCACCAGCTGGGATCACAGACATGCACCACCACACTCAACTAATTTTTTAATTTTTTGTAGAGATGAGGTTTCAGTATATTGCCCTGGCTGGTCTTGAACTGCAAGGCTCAACCAGTCTTCCAGCGTTGGCCTCCCAAAGTGCTGGGATTACAGGTGTGTGCCACCACACCCAGCCTTGAATTAATATTCTTTGAGTTCCTAGAACAGAATTGCTGTAAAAGAAGAACTAAAATCAGTTTTGTTCTAAAAGATTAAACAATAACCTTAAATTTTTTAGATGCGGGCTTAAAGCTATATATATATATATTTGTCCGATGATACCTAATGGTCACTATTGTCATGTCTACCAAAAATTTAATAGCTTGGTATGTCATTGAAGCGTGACAGTTCAAAGCCATGTTTTAACTTTCTCCCCAATAAGATATATCTGTTATTTCCTCTTCCAAGCCCAAATTCCATCATTTGTAAAATGGGAATAGTAACCTCCATTGGATAATTATTATAATCAAATTAGATATAAATGTCGTATATTTTTACAGATCTTAGATATGATTTTCCAAGGGCAGGCCCACATTTACAGTCTGTTCCTGAAAAATCTCAGCACTGAATGTAATGGTTGTCATACTTTGTTTTCTGAAGAAACGCTTACAGTACAGTAAATATATGCATTTGCAATAATATCCTCCGGAATTCTTTCTAATCTGGGAATTCTGACATGCTTTGCACCTGCTAGGGCGTAGTCTGTGTCTGTCTGGGGCTTTTACTGCTTTCTGGTTAAGTGAGGCTCTCCTCTGCCTTTCCCATGGAACTGCGCAGAAGCTGCACAGGCCAGACCTTGTGAATATGTTCTTGAGACAGGGTCTTTCCCTGTCACCCAGGCTGGGGTGCATATAGCTTACTGCAGCCTCAAATTCCCAGACTCAAGCAATCCTCCCACCTCAGCCTCCTTAGTAGCTGGGACTACCAGCTTGCACCACCATGCCCAGCTAACTTTTTTTTTTTTTTGTAGAGATGGGCTCTTGCTGTGTTGCCTAGACTGGTCTTGAACTCCTGGGCTCAAGCGATCCTCCCCACTCAGCCTCCTAAAGTGGTGGAATAACAGGCATGAGCCACCGTTCCCAGCTTACAGTCATCTTTTAAATGTCTGCATTTGTCTTCCATCATTTTTTGATCTGCTTTTAGTTGTAGTCATCTACAGGTTTAAGTAACTTTTAATCTTTTTTGAACCCTTAGTCATATTGAAGATGTTTTATTTAAAATACTACTTAAATGTAGTTATTCGTATCTAGTTTTACCACAGGAAAAAAGTATAATAATATTTCTCTCTCCCTGTTGTGTGTCTCCCCTATCTCTTTCTCACTCTTTTTTTTTTTTTGAGCACTGTGATCAGTCGTTGGATAATTGTGTTGCTTAATTATTGATATTTTGTGCTTATGTCACACATACAATTAACATGCATTAATTGATTATTTCTCCCATGTAATCAGACTTGGTTTAAATTTATAATTCATTTTCACTACATATTATGTAGTGAAAATATAATGGTTAAATACACTCTTGTTAGTTAAATTTTATCATCCATTTTACTCTTTGTGGACTTCAAATTTTGCAGTATAAATAAGAAAACGGACTGTTTTATATGGAAGTGATTACAATTCAGTAGGTGGCACTCTTTCAATTTCTGTTAGTGTTAATGAATATCCAATTAAATGTCAAAGAATGTTTTAAAATCTTGAGAAAAAGCATACAACTTTAGTCATTGATGCCTTGTTTTAGAAAGGATAGTAACAATTTGTTCATAATTTAGCGTCTCTGGAACTTTGTGAGAATAGTTACGTATGAATATACTTAATATTTATTTGCCTTGAGGAAACTTACCTAAAACAGAATTTCTTTTAATAAAGGCTTTGTGATATCCTATCTGAAACTGTAGATTTTCTATTCAGAAATTTAAATTACTGTCCATTATTGTCCATTTTCCTTCCATGTTTTGATTTTTAAACATTATTACTAGAGTCCCAGTACAACATGCTTTAAAAACATTAACACAGTTCTCTCATTCTGACACAGCAGCTTTTCTTCTTCTTCTTGTTCTTTTTTTTTTTTTTTTTGAGACGGAGTCTTGCTCTGTCACCAGGCTGGAGTGCAGTGGCGCGATCTCGGCTCACTGCAACCTCCGCCTCCTGGGTTCAAGCGATTCCCCTGCCTCAGCCTCCTGAGTAGTTGGGATTACAGGTGTGTGCCACCACACCCAGCTAATTTTTTTGTATTTTAGTAGAGATGGGGTTTCACCATGTTGGCCAGGATGGTCTCCATCTCCTGACCTTGTGATCCGCCTGCCTCGGCCTTCCAAAGTGCTGGGATTACAGGCATGAACCACCGTGCCTGGCCAGCTTTTCTTCTTTTTAGTCTATGCCTGTCTTTTTCCATTATGAACATAATATTTAGCTAGCTGGATCAGTTAACACAACTTAGTTTTGCTCTTTTTATTCAGCATTATTTATGTTCTGCTTTTTTTTAACGTATCATTTGTTATGTTTTCCTTGTTCCTGTGTATTTTTTGTATTTCCTATTTTTAAAAGAATATGCCATTAGTTACTTAGCCAATCGCTTATTGTTGGGCATTTTTAATATTTTAAAATATTGCAATGTTGCATCAAATATCTTTGCACATGTTTTTCTTTTATATTATTTCCTTATGATAAATTCCCAGGGTAGAAGTTTTTAGGTCAAAGGTATAAACACATTTATGGTTTTTGACACATATTACCCATTGATTTCCAAAAGAGTTGTATCAGTTTACAGTGCCGTAATGAATGTATGATTACACCAGTGTCCCAGCAGTCTCCCTGGAATAGCATTTCAAAGTGTATTGTTTTTTTACTAGCTTAGATTAAACAATTTGGGAGGTGTGTCATTTTGTTTTAAAATTTTTAGTTGAAATGTGGGAACTACCAAAAAAAAAAAATCTCCCACTGGAATATAACTGCTGTTATTTTTTTGACGCCGCCCTCCAGGTCTTTGTGTGTGTGCGTGTGTGTGTGCACACGGTTCCTGCTTTAGCATAGCTTAAGTGTAGTGTTGAATTTTATGTCCTCCGTTTTTCGTTTAATTAAGTCACTTACTATATGCTAGTCATTAATTTCTATTTGCTGGGCAGTGCTAGGGGTAGGGGTGAACCCAAAGTGCATAAAATGCACTGAAATGATTTGGTTTGGGTGGTTCTGTTAGTCACGAAAGGGTATGTGGAAGCGAGAATGTGTTTGAGATAGGTGGTAATGTGAAAATATTTATGTTTGTGAAATATTTTTATCTTAAATGCTTGCTTGGTGAATATCTGTGAGTATTATAGCAGTATCTGATCAGATTTAGAGTGAAGGTGAGAGGTCTCATCTGAAATGAAGATGAAGAGCCTTACTCCGTGTGGCTGTATAATCTCAGCATCATTTTCAATTGGCCGTGTGAGAGGCCATTCCTTAGTATTGAGCATCTTAGTCTTTTCTGATTTTTAACTTATGTGAATAGCATTGCTTTCTTGACATTTCAGATTTTTTGTTTTTAATTTTTATTTCTATTTGTTTCTTTTCAAATGCGTTGAAGGCAACAGATTATTTCTTATGGTTGAAAAAGTTTGATTTCTGAGTTTAAAAGGATGAAGTGGTTTGTGTGTTTTTGTTTTTTTTTTTTTTTTTTGAGGCAATGTCTCGCCTGTCACCCAGGCTGGAGTGCAGTGGCGCAATCTCGGCTCACTGCAAGCTCCGCCTCCTGGGTTCACGCCAGTCTCCTGCCTCAGCCTCCCAAGTAGCTGGGACTACAGGCGCCCGCCACCACGCCTAGCTAATTTTTTGTGTTTTGGTAGAGATGGGGTTTCACCGTGTTAGCCAGGACGGTCTCGATCTCCTGACCTCGTGATCTGCCCGCCTTGGCCTCCCGAAGTGCTGGCATTACAGGCATGAGCCACTGCGCCCGGCCAAAAGGATGAAGTTTTTAAAAATAGTTTTTGATAAAATTTCTTCAAAAAGTATTGTATTAATTTACAGTACTACTGGTAATATAGAATACCCATTATATTCTGTCCTTTCATTTAAAATAATGTTTCTAATTTGATAGTTGCTTTATCTGCATTTGTGATTTTTAGTTCTTCTGGTACCAACATTTAACATAATTTGAGGAAAGTGTTCTTAACCCTTGGTGTACTGTTTGGGTCCACTGGCTCCAGTTTAGTTTTCAAGTTTTGTTTTTGAACAGTTTTAACTATTACAGTTTTGAGTGGTTTTGACTAGTTGAAAAGATTGGCATTTCATGATTTTTATTCTTTCCTAGAGGCTAACAAAAAAGGAGAAAAATGATCATTTAAAAAAACTGAAAAAAATTCATTCTCTTTTGCTGTCACCAAATATCCACTGGACCTCCTATAAAGCTAAGACATGATGAGACTTCAGGGATCATATTTCCTGCATCTTGAAACATTTTACTATTTTATCGTTGTAGGAATTATTATCATTCATCATTACTCATCAGTTATTTCCAAATATGCTAAAAAAGACTAAAATAATAAGTGGAAGAATGATGAAATCACCTAAGTAATAATGATACAATAGTGAAATAGATTGTCATCCTTCATTTTCTTACTGTGTGAGACCCAGAACATTATATTTCAAGAATAGATTAAAAAGGACTGGAAACACCTTCTTTTTAGTCTGCTTATAGCTTTCATTTGAATACAGTTGAAATTTAGAATTTTTCATTTTCAGCTTAAAATGGACAAGAAAAAAATTGACATGTTTCACAGTTATTAAACAAATCAAAATAAATGCAAAGAGATAGCATTTCTGGCTGATGAGGATTATAATGGAATTGGCCATATAAGTGAAATTTCAGACTCTGGGTCTTCAGATTACAACATCCTAGAAGAATTATAAGAAAATTCCTCTAGGATGACATCTGATAATATTTCATATTTGTCAATATGAATTGACATATGTCTAAGAACAAACAAGAAATATGGTCTCTCATCTAGTCATTCAAAAGGACTTTATCATGCAATAATATTTTTGTGACAAGAACCTAGACCATCCTGTTCTGAAAGAATATATGAGAGTTTAAAAATATTTTATGCTGTTAAGCACCAAAATTTACCTGACACAAAAGGTTACATGTGTTTAAATTCTTTTTTTTAAGACAGAGTCTTGCCCTGTCGTACAGGCTGGAGCGCAGTGGTGCAGTCATAGCTCCCTGAAGCCCTGACTTCCTGGGCTCAAGGGATCTTCCGCCTCAGCCTTCTGGGTAGCTGGAACTACAGGCATGTGTTACCACATCCAGCTAATTTTTTTTTATTTCTGTAGAGACAGAGTCTTGCTGTGTTGCCCTGGTTGGTCTCAAACTCCTGGGTTCAAGTGATCCTCCCACCTTGGCTTCCCAAAGTGCTGGGATTACAGATGTGAGCTACCATGCCTGGTATGTTTAGATTCTTGTTAAAACTTCTTTTTTTCTTAATTTTGAGACAAGAGTTTCGCTCTGTCTTCCAGGCTGGAGTGCACTGGTGCAATCTGGGCCCACCGCAACCTCCACCTACTGGGTTCAAGTGATTCTCCTGAGGCTGAGCCTCCCGAGTAGCTGAGACTACAGGCACCCATCACCACACCCAGCTAATTTTTGTATTTTTAGTAGAGACGGGGTTTCACCATGGTGTCCAGGCTGATCGCAAACTCCTGACCTCAGGTGATCCACCCATCTTGGCTTCCCAAAGTGCTGGGATTACAGGCATGAGCCACTGTGCCCAGCCTATATTTCTAATAAAATTGTTTTCACTATCTTTTTATTCATAGTTCTATGCATTCTTCATTAAATGGCTTAACAATATAAAGGTTCCATTGGAGCCAGATGTTAACTGGTACTAGCTATTCTTCCTGATATACTGAGGGTTAAAGTAAAAAATATTTCTCAGATTTAATGGCATTATTACATTTTAACACTTCTCTAGTGTACAGTCCTAATTATGTCTGACATACACAATTGGGAATAGTTAGAAGGAAATCATTCTGGACCAATCAGTAATGGAATGAAAAACTCAGGAAGTCCCAATGCCATGGTAAAGGAGAAAAACTCCTTTTTCATTTCCTTTCATGTACAGTGTGTTCAGATTAACTTTAAAGGAGAGTGAGATGTAGGTCTTAAGATTTTGTCTGCAATTGAGTATTACCTGTATATGGAGCCCATCTCAGCAGGCACCCAGTCATCAGCCAGCAACCCCTTCCAGGTCCCTCGACCTGGTCCCTCGACAGCTGCTAGATATCCTGTTGCAAATTAAATATGAAGCAGGGATGGACTTAATTTTGCATTTAAAGGATTTCTTAAAGTTCAGCCTCAAATGAAGTTGTTAGTGTTTTCATTTTTATTGAAGCTGGCTTTGTTGGAAAGGAAGGGGCAGCTAGAATTGTCCTCAGTGGTATTAAAGAAAAATGCTCTGGAAAAAATAAAGTTTATGCCTAAAGTTTGGCATAAACTTTATGCCAATATGCCTTTATATATCTATATGCCACATTTCATAACTCTTCTTATAAATACTGCACAGTTGTCAGGCCTGCCAAAATGGTATGTAGCCTACTGTGTCAGTACAGCCTGTTAGTAAACATATGTTTATAGTTTAACTGTTTCCCAGTAGGGTGTTTTTGAGACTTTCCTTTTTCAGCTTTGTCTTTCTGAATGGTAGTAACAAAGGGAAATAAAACATGGTGAGTTTATATCACACTTTGAGGGACAGGAGGCTAAACTCTAGAATTAAACTTATGAACCGCAACAACACTTACATGTTTCCTTAGGTACCAAGTGCTTCACACACATTAACTCATTGAATCCTCATAATAATCCTGTGAAGGAAGTACTAGTATTATCTTTTTTTTTCTTATAGATGAGGGAAATAAAGTGTAGGGATAACTTTTAAGGTATGTTAGAAACTGGTAGATCTAGGATTTGAATTCAGACAGTCTGACTCTAAAGAGCTTTTTTAAAAAAATTACTGAGCTATTTTTGTCTTTAGATTATATTACTACAAGTGATATTCCCGTTTGTAAGACATCATCCTAAAGGTTCAGTGATCCATAAGGAATATTTGGGATATGTTATGCCACTGGTGTCATCCTGTAGATCTTGCACTTCTGGGACGATTTAGGGTTATTGCATGGGATGTGTGAATTTATGTTTCATAAGCATTGTATGTAGGCTAAATTTTAAAAAATTATGTAATTGTGTTTTAAATGTGCATAATAGTTGTGGCTTGGAAAATTAAACTTCATTTAGTATTGCTTAGTTCATAGCTTTCTGTTATTATGTATTGCCCCCAATTATCATATATTAAAATTATAACAACTATTGGGGGGGTTCATGCGAACTTTTTTTTTTTTTCTTTTTTGAGACAGTGTCTCTCACTCTGTCACCCAGGCTGGAGTGCAGTGGCACGATCTTGGCTCACTGCAACCCCCGCCTCCCAGGCTCAAGCGATCCTCCCACCTCAGCCTCCCAAGTAGCTGGGACCACAGGCATGCACCACCATGTCTGTCTAATTTGTGTATTTTTTGTAGATACCAGGTTTTCACCATGTTGCCCAGGCTGGTCTTGAAATCCTGAGCTCGGGCAGTCTACTCACCTTGGCCTCCCAAGGTACTGGGATTACAGGCGTGAGCCACCATGCCTGGCCTCATGAAAACTTTTGATGTTAAAAAATAGGGAATATTATTTGTTAAAAATTGTTGGGATTCATTGAGTGAGAAGTTTACAGGCTTTGCTTAAAATATAGATCCTCGTATTTCCTGATAAGTCCTCTCTGTCTGGGCCAGGGTAAATTGCATAGCCAATAGCAACAAAACTCAGTGTTATTTTCTATTCTTAGTGATGTACCTGTGGATTAAATCTTTACTATGTTTTAATAAAGAAGCAAACTGGACAGTTACTACTCTTTTCATTGATTTGCTTTCATGAGTGAGAAAATGCTGCATTCATTTTATACTGCGACGGATAGGACAATTCATGATGTCAGTTTGGAGAAGCCATATGTCAGAGGCAAAAGCTATATCATACATAAATTTAAAGTTAAAAACTAATACTATTTAAGGCTGGGAGCAGTGGCTCATGCCTTTAATCCTAGCACTTTGGGAGGCTGAGGTGGACAGACCACTTGAGGTCAGCAGTTTGAGACCAGCCTGGCCAACATGGTGAAACCCTGTCTTTACTAAAAATACAAAAATTAGCCAGGCATGGTGGCACATGCATGTAATCCCAGCTGCTTGGAAGGCTGAGGCATGAGAATTGCTTGAACCCAGGAGGCAGAGGTTGCAGTGAGCTGAGATGGTGCCACTGCACTCCAGCCTAGCAAGAGAGCAAGACTCCATCTCAAAAAAAAAAAAATATATATGTATATATATATACACACACATACATACATACACTAATACGATTTAAAATATCAGCCTCACAATACATATTCTAATATTTAAGAGAGAAAAGTTTAGCTTTAGGGTTTCAGGTTTATTTTCCAGTTCGCCCAAACATCTAAGTTAGCTGTACTGTCATCTCTGTGTTTATGGTGCTTTGTACATGTGTATGTTATGGTACTTATTATTCATTTTATTCAGTTCTTTCAGCACATATTTATTGTTCTCTGATTGTGTGTGCCAGTCACTATCATGAACACAGAAAATATGTAAGTGAACAAAGCAGATAAACAGTCTCTGCTTTTGTGGAGTTTACACTTCCATGGATGGAACAGAAAGGAAATAATAAACATAACAAATAAGTAAATTCTATAGTATGTTTGGAAGAGGATAAGTACTATGAGAAAAACATAGAGCATTTTAAGGAGAAATAAAAATGCTAGAGTGTGGGAAGGAAAGTTGCAATTAAAAATATGCTAGTCAGGGGAACTAGTGAGAAAGCAACATTCTAGCAAAGACTTCAAAGAGGGGAGAGGGATAGCCAGGCAGGCCATCTGGGGAGTGAGCACTTCAAGCAGAGAGGATCTGGTGTAAGGCTCACAAAAGGGCACATGGCTGCGGTGTTTGGGCACAGTGTGGAGGTCAGTGTGACTGGAACAGGGGGTGGTTGGGGCAGAGTGTTAGGAGAGGAGGGATCAAGAGGTAGCACCAGAGATCATCATGGCAGGCCTTGTGGCAGGAGTTTGACTTTTACTCTCAGTGAGAGGAATTGAAGCATTTTCATGTTAAAACAACTTTTTTTTTTATCATAGGAAATTTTCAAGCATGTAAAAGTAAACAGACTACAACAATTAACTTCCGTCATCACCCAGCTTCACCCGTATCTACTCATGGCCAGTCTTATTCATCTGTGCCCCTTTCCCTTCTCCCCTTTCATGTTGGCTTGATGAAAAGCCCTGATGACCTTATTTTATTTTACCCACAAATGTTTTAAGCATATAACTCTAAAAGATAACTATTTTTGGCATATCTACGGTAGTATTATCACACCCTTAAAATTAATAATTATTTTTTCTTCCTTTTGTTTTCAAGACAGGGTCTCACTCTGGCACTCAAGCTGGAGTGCAGTGGTACAGTCCTGGCTTGCTGCAGCCTCAAACTCCCAGGCTTTAAGCAATCCTCCCACCTCCTGAGTAGCTGAGACTACAGGCGTGAGCCACCATGCCTGGCTTTTTTTTTTTCTTAATTTTAGTAGAGATGACGTCTTGTCATGTTGCCCAGGTTGGTCTTGAACTCTCGGGCTCAAACGATCCTTCCACCTCAGCATCTCAAAGCACTGGGATTATAAGTCTGAGCCACCATGCCAAGCCTTTCCCCCACCATCTCCCAGAGACGGGGTCTCACTTTGTTGCCCAGGCTGGAGTGCAGTGGTGTGATCATAGCTCACTGCAGCCTCGAATTCCTGGGCTCAAGAGATCCTCTTGCCTCAGCATTCAAAAGTGCTGGGATTACAGACGCCTGGCACCTAGCTAGCCACTAATTCTTGAATGTCATCAAATAACCAGTCTTTTCACATTTTAAATTTTCTCTCAAATGTTATAAACGTTTGTTGGTTTATTATGTACTGTTTTTTGAATTAGGGTCCAAATAACATCCACACGTTGTGACTGGTTGATCTCTCTCCCTCTCTCATTCTTTCTCATTCTCTGTCTCTTTCCCTTTTACATTTTCATATTTGTTGCAGAAACTGCGTTGTTTGTCCTGTAGAGTTTTTTATAGTCTGAATTTTGCTTATGGCATCCTAATGGTTTTGTTTCACGTGGTCCTCTGTTTATCCCATAAATTGGTATAGTCGGTTCTAAGAGCTTGATGAAATGTCATGTTCAATTGTTTTGGCAAGACTACTTCATAGCTGGGGGTGTGTAACTCCGTCAGAGTACACATAATATCAACATAATATCATTTGTGAATGTGTGGGTGTGATTTTAGCAAACATTGAACCATTAAGTCAATAGAAGTTGCAAATTGGTAACAGTCTAATTCTGTTTTCTTCACAAGCTGGAGTGCTTCTATAAAGAGAAACTTCCTATCATCTACTATTTGGTTTCCTGGTGGTAGAGTTTGTATATGAAAAGCTGGATGAATGCTTGATCCCTTTTCTTCATTCATCAGTTTTCAAAATAATGAATTTGTTTCCTACCTTCTTCCAATAGTCACCAACTAGTTGTGCATATGTTTTTTGAAAGTATCATTATGATCTCATGGATTTAAACAGATTTGATAGATATTAGTCCATTTATTATCCATTGATGTTCAAATTGTCCCATCTTTGGCATATGAGACCAGTGGTGTGTTGGAGCTGGCTCATACCCATTTTTGAGAGTGAGTTGGCAAATGTTGTTTAATATTCAGTCAGTTTATAGGCTGGTTGTTAAACACAGCCTTTATTTAAAAAAATCATATAAACTTATAATTAAATAAATTATACTAGAAGCAAAGGTGCTCAAACTCCATCACTTTCTAGTTATCTTATTTTTGAGGTTAAGTTTATTGTAGAGTTGGGTGAAAATACTATATAACTGTGCCTCTGAACACCTCCCAACTCCACATGTGGGGGCATTACATTGGCGGCTTGAAATTGGCCATTGTAGGAGTGTTTACATCACAGCAGTCAGCAAATGCTACAGATCATGGCATGATTTATTGTCTTTTTTATTGTCTAGACGTCAGGAGGTGGTGGTGAAAAATGTAGATTAAACTTCAAAATGTATAGTATCTGTAGCTGTTCCATTGTAAGTAGTACCAAAAATGGTATAAAAATGAGGAAATATTCTTCAACTGTTATCTGATTCAGCAAAGAAGTTGCTCACATCATTGACACGTGAAATTCTCACATACCCCTTCCTTGTTTTGCTTTAGATTAAACTAGAGGTCAGCAAACTGCCTGGCCTGCAGCCTGATTCTGTAAATAAAGTTTTATTGGAACACATCTCTTTCCATATTATGGGTGACTGCTTTGGCACTACAATGGCGGAGATGAGATGTGACAGAGACTGTATATCCCAAAAGCCTAAAATAGTTACCATCTGGTCCTTTAAGTGTGCTCTTCTGTAGTCTAAACCAACATTCATGCCAAACTGCATTCATCCATCAGTTGCAACCACAGGTTGGCCACTGATAGATAAGTTTTGGAAATATCAATAAAAACATCTGTGAGAATCAATTGGCTGCATGGAATTTATAATAAAGAGTGTTCTTTTTATTTGTAAATTATGTGCTGTGCCTCCTTTATATCAACAAAACTTAGAAGAAACACACACACAATCATTCGCCCCACTCAGCCAGTTGTTAAACATTTACCAGCATATCTCTCAATACACTTGCAATCGGATCCAGTGACCGATGTCATTACTGAAATGATTCAACCCCTTGAATGAGATATTTGGAAATTGAATAAGAAGTAAGAACCATCAGGTTTACAGGGATAATATATTCAAGGCTCATGAGAATTTAGTACTGCACAGGAATTCTGGTCAGCCAACACATATTTGCAAACATGCATAGAGTTTCTATTTTAAGTTAGTTGTTGACTTCTAGCAATAGCAGCCCCCAAACTGCCTACGTAAGATAACTGGAAGGAATTATTTGCCCCAAAACAATTTCTAGGTCCACACTGTTATGCGAGCCGCAGCGAGATACACACATGGAAGCTCTATGTGATTTTTGGCTCTTAAGAAGTTAACATGCTAAAGAGACAAAGCTAACATATACAAAGCACTTTCATTACTGCAGTGAGTATAATATGGATTCAGAATGGGGAAAGACTTCTGTGAGGTAAAGCAACTGGAAGAAGCCTGGGGAGGAGGTAGATCTTGACCTGAACCTGGACCTTGAAGGATAAGATTTAAATTTCAGTGAAGAGAACTGAAAAGAGCCCTCTAATGGGGGGGCGGGGGGAGGGGAGCTTCACTAGGAAATCAGGAAGCTAGGGAAGAAAATATGTGCATGTTTCTGTGTGTATTCGAAGGGGGCTTCCTGGTTTGTGAAGGACAGTAAGTATTCAGATCCATACGTAGATCAGTAGTATGTTACAGTAGCATGGAAGCCATTTGGAACATTTAGATTGTAGTGTGAACTTCTGAACCACTGAGTGTTGTGGATGAACAGAATGAGACAGCAAAAGTGGTATTTGTTAAACACTTTTGACTTCTGGTTGAAGATGGAGAATTAAATCTATGTATTCACCTAAGCTCCCTTATGTCACCATGCTAAAATTACAGTGAAGGGGTTTTAAGGTGTTGTTGTAGTTGTTAAGTTTGTAAGTCTAAAAAAATGAATAGAATGGGATAAAAGGCAAGAGTAACCCATTTTTTGAAACTGGAAAGTCGAGGGTCAAATGGTAAAGAACTTAGCAGACCCAGTACAACTGAATCCCAAGCCAGCAATGCGGAAACCTAAGACCCATCCAGAGCCCCAGGCTTTGTGGCTTCAGGTACTTCTGGAAGTGAGGGAGAGAAATGGTTGAAAATCTGTTTAAGAAGCAAATGGATACATGGATTTCCTCCCTGGTTTGGTGCAGCTGAGCAGCTGCCTCTACAAAAGACTGACTTCAAAGGGCCAAACAAAGGGACCGTGGGTTGAGGCCTGTGATAACACACCAGACCAGAAGGCAGGGATGGCATCCTGAAAACAAGGGGGAATTCATGGAATGTGAATACACCGGATGCCGAGATGTCCAGCCTCCTTCCATTTGAGATGCTGGCAGCCATTTCTTCATCCTTTGGGGAGGAGATTTGAGATTTCTCTAGGCATTCTGATCAAACCTAGATAGGATACCCAAAGATATTGATGGTAGGCATTTCCCAAATAAATAGCTCAATCCGATTCCTCTACAGTGGAGTCCCCACTTCCCAAGCCCTGAGTCCCACTGACATACTCAAAGCTCCCAGACAGCTTTTTTAGTTCCATTCTAAAGGCTTACCAGACAAAGGAAGAAAACATCTGATATGAAAGGGAGCAAAACCAACTAAAAAGCAACTTAGAGGAAACAGTCATGCAAGAGGAATTAATTTGAAATAGTTCTTTACACTGGGCGTGGTGGCTCACACCTGTAATCCCAGCTCTCAGGGAGGTAAGAGGCGGGAGGATAGCTTGAGCCCAGGAGTTTGAGACCTGCCTGGCCAATATAGCGAGACCCCATTCTCCACAAAAAGGAAAAAAAAAAAGACAAAAAAAAAATAAGCGTAATAGTTCTCTACTAGTATTCTAAGAGAGGACAAGAAAAGATAACCAGGAAGCAAGAGCAGGGTGCTATTTTAAAGGAGGAAATGGGGGAAAAGAAGAAGGGGAAGCCACAGAAGCAGCATTCCAGGCCAAAAGAGCTCTTGGAAATGGGAAATCATGGCAGCAGAAATTTTTTTAAAATGCAGTCGAGAACTAGAAAATAAAGGTAAGGAAATCCTAGAAAAAGCAGAATCAGAAAAGATTTTGGCTGGGCGCAGTGGCTCACGCCAGCACTTTGGGAGGCCGAGGCGGGCGGATCACTTGAGGTCAGGAGTTCGAGACCAGCCTGGCCAGCATGGTGAAACCCCGTCTCTACTAAAAATACAAAAATTAGCCAGGAGTGGTGGTGCGTGTGTACCTGTAATCCCAGCTACTCGGGAGGCCGAGGCAGGAGAATCGCTTGAACCCAGTAGGTGGAGGTTGCAGTGAGCCGAGATCATGCCACTGCACTCCAGCCTGGGCAGATGACACAGGACTTCATCTCAAAATAAATAAAAAAATAGATTTTAAAAGAGAAAAGATTTTTTAAAAATTATAGAACCAGTCCAGGAAGCCTAATATCTGAACAACAAAAGTTCAGAGCAGAAGCCTAGGAGCAGTGACCATCCGTGTGACACTGAGGACCAATAAAGCCAGATTGTTGCCTTGAATTTATTTCCCTCTAAAAGGAACAAGGGCTCCTTCGAAAAATGGCTTTTTCCAAATCTAGGGCAGAAAATCTGCAAAGTGACTTGGAACATTTTGTTATACCAAGTAGCAAGGAAGCTACCAAAGATTAGGGTTTTATCTAAAGGACTCCGAAGCCAACTTAAAGACGGTCCCACTCACTGGTGCTCTGGTAAATGTTTAACAGCTGGTTCTCAAAAAAAAAAAAAAAAAAAAAAGCAGAAAGAATGCTTCACAAGTTTATTTTACTAACATAAAAATGTGTAGTAAAACATTTACAAATACTAATGAGATAAGCAATATCCTTGTAGTAAATTCCATGTAGCCAACTGATTCTCAGAGAATGCTTTTGTTAATTTTCCCAACTTTCATGTCCGTAAGCAAACCACTGTTACAACTGACAGATGAATATAGTTCCAACGTGAATGTTGGTTGATATTTTCCTTTATGTTAATGAGGAAGACAAAAGTGAAACAACACATACGAATGTCAAAACCTCCCTCCTTGCTTAATGATATGAGTGACTTTTTTGCTGAATTGGATACTAGTTTCTGAATACTGGAAGAATATTTCCTCAGCTGTTTGTGTTCTTCACAATGGAACAGCCACAGCTCACTTATAAATGTAATCTACATTTTCAACATTTCTGAAACTTTGCCTTCCCTATCACAGGTACATAGTTTTATCCGATTAGCAAGTTAGAGCAGTTTCTTCCCACTGCCCCCTTAAACAGTCTGTCCGGGAGAAAGTTCTCTGGAGCTGGAGGAGAAGTTGGCAGGACGCCTACAGAGTAGCCATGGGTACCCCCAGAGAGGAAGGGAATTGGTGCCACACAGTCTTCGGAGTGTGGAGGTGGACACTGGGTAGTGTATCATTTGTGGATGTCACAAGCCTCTACTCAGACTTGTTCTAATGTTTTAAAGGGCATTTTGATTTTATGTTGCTTGCATTCTTCATCCTGTTTGTGAGTTATTTCATGAAAGGGTAATTGTATTTTGATTTGAGGGAAATAATGACTTTTTTCTTTCACACGGGTATAAATATCTAAGAAAAGCTCTTAGCTTTCTGTCAGCTTTTTTATGTGATTATTTACCTCAGTATCTTAAGTGATGTTTTTGTTAAGAAAGAAAAAGGCAGGGGAAAATTAGAGAAGTTATGAAAGTACTATTAGCTTTCTAAATTCATTGGGAAGAAACTCTCTTGATTTTCAGCTATATCACACCCCAGGGTTCTTTTCAACATTTCTGATTTTTTTTTTTTTTTTCTGCTAACCTTAGGGATTTCTCAGAAACTTTGCCAGCTGAATTATCTGGGGGAGGTAGGAGTAGGGGAGAGTGGAATTTGAGGATTTATGGAGTTGACAGCTTACAAAGAGGTTTGAACGGCCTCAGTAGAATATTAACATTTGGGCTCTGTTTTGTTACAAATAGGGACATGAAATCATATTGCTTCCTCTTATATCCCATAGTAAAAGAACTATGGGATGTAGTTCAAAATATATAATCAAAATAACGATTGGCCTGGCTGTTAAGAATCACTGTCTTTTCCCAGAGAATTTTTGTGATAGAATATAAGATCCTCCTCTTTATTCTAAAGCCACTGGTCTGCAGGTCATCAAAGAAGTGAGTGATGTTACAAGCAATTGCCAGTAATATTGTATCATTTGGACTTGGATTCTGGTTCTGTTCCTGAATTGTATGTTTAGTTTTTCTTCCTGGCGCTTGATCCTTTAGAACCTCCTGGATGATACAATCGTTTATGTCAGCTAGGCTACAATTATGATCATTAGCAGGGGTTGTTCTTGCATCTATACTTAACTGTTTTTTCACTAGTTCCGGATCTTACTGATTAGGTACTTTCTGAACTGGGAGGCAGAAAAATGTCATTGATTGGCAAGTTCGTATCTGTGTCATGTTGAAAATTGTCTTAGATTATTAACTAAGTTCAGTCTTTTTGTGTGTTCTGCCTGTCAATATATCTACTGTTAATGAGAACTTATTTTAGGATTGCAGTGAGTTTAATGTGTATAACATGCTTAGAACCGTGGCCGGGACATATTCACATGCTTAGCACATGTTAGCAGCTATGAATTATTTTAATGTCAACATTATCATCATCAGATTTCACTGGTACATTATAGGCTCTGTGTGTGTGTGTGTGTGTGTGCGCGCGCCTGCATGTCACTGAATGTACGTGTGAGTGTGCGTGTGTGCATATGAACATGTGAATGTATCCTCCTCCATTACTGCTGGCCTCTTCAGCGTCTTCTGGGCTCTATTCATATGTCATCTTGTCGAGGCCTTTCTAGAACACCTTATTGAAAAGTGTGGTGGCTCACGCCTGTAATCCCAGCACTTTGGGAGGCTGAGGCGGGCAGATCACGAGGTCAGGAGATCGAGACCATCCTGGCTAACACGGTGAAACCCCGTCTCTACTAAAAATACAAAAAATTAGCTGGGCGTGTGGTGGGCACCTGTAGTCCCAGTTACTCGGGAGGCTGAGGCAGGAGAATGGCGTGAACCCAGGAGGCGGATCTTGCAGTGAGCTGAGATCATGCCATTGCACTCCAGCCTGGGCGACAGAGTGAGACTCCATCTCAATAAATAAATAAATAAATAAATAAATAAATAAATAAATAAATAAATAAATAAATAAAAGAGAAGTGTGATGCCTCTTCTACATATACACATCCTGCCTTCAGATCCTGCCATGTGGATTCTGAGTTTCAGGAGGGCAGCGGGGATTTCTGAAATCATCTGACATGGGCCTTTTCTTCAGTCCATTCCAGATTGGGGGAGAATAGTAGGGACCCATATTCCAACATCGCCAGTTCCTGAAGTCAAGTCTGAGATAGGGCTGTCCACTGGGCACTGGCCGGGTTTCACCTCCTCCATTCCTACCTCATGTCTTTGCTGTTGATAAAGAACCTTAGACGCCCTCCATTTGCCCTCCATTTGAGAATGAAGTGAGGGAACAGGATACGGTTCATCTGCCCATTGTGTTGTATTCCACTTTTCCGCCGGGGCATTATGGCTGCACTTTATTTTACTCATTTAGTTTGTTTTCTTCCTCTACTAGAATGTAATCCATGAGAAGAGATATTTTTGTCAATTTTATTCACTGTTTCATTCCTAGCACTTATAATGGTGTACAGTGCCTAGTAGGCACTTAGTAAATGTTGGACAAATGGCCGTTTCCCAGATAACTTATTATTTCATAATGATTATTACGCATCCTTGGTTCATGCCTCTCAATCCATCTCATCCTAAATATGGCTACTAATGGCAGTTACATATGTTGAAATTCACCTTTTGAAATTCTAGTTTGGCCAGGAGTGGTGGCTCATGCCTGTAATCCCAGCAGTTTGGGAGGCCAAGGTGGGCAGATTGCTTGAGCTCAGGAGTTCAAGACCAGTGTGGGCAACATGGCCAAACCCTGTCTCTACTAAAAAATACAAAAATTAGCTGGGTGTGATGGTGCATGCCTGTAGTCCCAGCTGCTTGGGAGGCTGAAGTGGGAGGATTGCTGAAGCCTGGGAGGCAGAGGTTGCAGTGAGCCAAGATCACACCACTGCACTTCAGCCTGGGTAGGTGACAGAGCCAGACCCTGTCTGGAAAAAAAAAAGAAGAAAAAAAAAAAGAAAAATTCAAGAAATGAATTATTAAGCGTTTGAAAATTAGTTTTTATAAATGGTTGGTATGATAGGAGCATATGATCTATGAGAGAATAAAGTTGTACCTTTGCCCCATCCCAATCACAGCCTCTTCTTTCCTCCAAAAGTAACCCCTACACTTTTAGTGCACACATTTTATATGTATTATTTTATGAGTGTATTTGTACATTTTATGGAATTATTTCGAGATACTTCCCCTCATGTACTACTTGGTTGTCCAGAGGTGTAGTTCATATAGAAAAAAACAAAAAAGATAAATGCTTGATTTCTTTTATACATTGTTTTCAACTTAACAGAATGACTCATTGTCACCTACAAAAGGTACCAATTAAATTTTTATATCATTCTGAACTTACTGATTTAAACATTTTTAGTGGGTTTTAATCCATCTCAATTATTGTCCATATTGGAGTCCAGTTGCCCAGTCTTTAGCTAACAGGAGCCTTTTCTTTCTTTCTTTCTTTCTTTCTTTTTTTTTTTTTGAAATAGAGTCTCGCTCTGTCACCCAGGCTGGAATGCAGTGGTGTGATCTCGGGTCGCTGCAACCTCTGCCTCCTGGGTTCAAGCAATTCTCTGCTTCAGCCTTCTGAGTAGCTGGGATTACAGGCACCCACCACCATGCCCAGCTAATTTTTTTTTTTTGTGAGACGGAGTCTTGCTGTGTCGCCTGGGCTGGAGTGCAGTGGCGCCATCTCGGCTCACTGCAAGCTCCGCCTCATGGGTTCATGCCATTCTCCTGCCTCAGCCTCCCAAGTAGCTGGGACTACAGGCACCTGCCACTATGCCCGGCTAATTTTTTTTTGTATGTTTAGTAGAGATTGGGTTTCACTGTGTTAGCCAGGGTGGTCTCGATCTCCTGACCTCGTGATCCGCCCGTCTTGGCCTCTGGAGTGCTGGGATTACAGGCGTGAGCCACCGCATCCGGCCCTGCACGGCTAATTTTTGTATTTTTAGTAGAGATGGGGTTTCACTATCTTGGCCAGGCTGGTCTTGAACTCCTGACCTTGTGATCCACCCACCTTGTCCTCCCAAAGTGCTGGGATTACAAGCATGAGCCACCGCACCCAGCCAACAGGAGCCTTTTCATCTTTGCATCTATTCCTTTTGACTAGATCCTAGTGATTGTTGATATAGGTTCCTTGTTATCTGATGGGACAAGTCAGGTTCATCTTGTATATGTCATGACTGAGACGTGAAATCAGCCATTTCTCAAAAAAGTCCATAAAAAATGATTATATAATTCTGTACTGATTTTTTTTTTCATTTTAGCACTTTACAGATATTTTTCCACCATCTCATAACCTCCATTGTTTCTGATAAGAAGTCAGACGTCATTTGTCTTACTGTTCCATGGATCTCATGTGCTGTTTTTCTGTTGCTGCTTTCAGGCCTTCCTGTTTATGTTTGGCTTTCACCAATTTAACTAGGATGTGCCTAGGTGTGGTTTTCTTTCTTTTTTTTTCTCAATGCTTGGGAGTTACTGAACTTCTTTAATGTGTATTTATGTCTTTTTCCAAACTGGAAAGTTTTTAGCTATTTATTTCTTTGAATATTTTTTCCCTATCATCTCCTTCTGAGACGCCAATTAAACTTGTGTTAGACCTTTTGATATTGTTCCATAGAGTCACTGATGTTCTGCTCATTTTTTTCAGTCTTTATTCTGTCCGTTCTTCCAATTTGATAATTTATGTTGATCTATTTTCAGGGTCACTGAGCTTTCTGCTACACATGCAGTTAAGTTTGAATTTCAGATATAATATTTTTCAGTTGTAGAGTTACCATCTGGTTTGTTTTT
This sequence comes from Homo sapiens, assembly GCF_000001405.40. NCBI lineage: Eukaryota > Metazoa > Chordata > Mammalia > Primates > Hominidae > Homo > Homo sapiens. Next base: position 7,862,131 of record NC_000010.11, read on the forward strand.
AGAGTTCCATTTCTCTCCTGAGATTGCCAGTGAATATATTTTCCTTTATGTTCTTGAACATAGTAATAATAGCTTCTTGGGCTCCTCTTAGTGATGGTCTCATTTGATTGCCTTTCTCTTCAGTATGGATCAAAGTTTTCTGTTTTTTCACATGTCTAATAATTTTGGATTATGTTCTTGACATTGTGAGTGTAGTTTGTAGAGAAGGTGGATTCTGCTGTTTTCCTGATGTTTGTTTTTTGTTTCAGCAGGAAGTTACCTTAGTTCAACTCAAACTCCAAGCTGTTTTTCCTATGATGGGCAGCAGCAGAAATCTCTTTAGGTTTTGATTTGTGTGTGTATATGTGTCTGTTTTCTGGACTATTATCTTTATTTTTTTCTACCTTAATTGAGGCATAATTTATGTTCAGTAAACTGTACATGTTTATAACATTTTTAAGTTTTGACATATGTATATACTTGTGAAAGCATTGTCACAGTCAAAATTATGAAGATATCCATCACCCTGAAAAGTTACCTTAAGCCTTTTGCAATCCATATCTCCTCTTCCCTCCTCCCCAGGGGGATCCCCAGGCAACCACTGACCTATTTACTGTCATTGTAGATTATTTTGCATTTTTCTAGAATTTTATATAAGTGAAATCATGGTATGTACTGTTTTTTGGTCTGGCCTTTTTTCACCAATATAATTATTTTGAGATTCATCCAAAATTCTGGATATTTTGCAAATATCCATAAGTTACTCCTTTTTATTGTTGAGTATTGTTCCATTACGTGTATATGCCACAATTTCTTTACCCATTCAGCTGTTAATTGACATTGGGATTTTTTACTGTCTTGGACTATTTCAAATAACGTTGATATGAACATTTATGCTTTCATTTATCTTGGATAAATACCCAGGAATGGAATGGCTGTGAACAATAAGCTATGCTTTATCTCTGACCTAGGAGTCTGATGTCTTCTGTGAAAATCCAGGAAACTGTGGTGGACTAACTTCTTGGAAGTAGGACAGCATTTCAGACCCTTTATGATTCTTGACACTGAGTTCTTTGCATTTTCATATAAAATTTCAAATCAATGTATCATCTACAAGAAAGACTGCAGGGTTTTGTACTGGGACTGCATGGAACCCATAGACCAATTTGGAGAGAGTTGAGATCTTCACAATATTGAATTTTCTGATTAAAGAATATAAGGCTGGGCATGACAGGTCACACCTGTAATCCCAGCACTTTGGGAGGTTGAGGCAGGCAGGTCACCTGAGTTCAGGAGTTTGAGATCAGCCTGGCCAGGATGGTGAAACCCCGTCTCTACTGAAAATACAAAATTAGCTGGGTGTGGTGGTGCACACCTGTTATCCCAGCTACTCAGGAGGCTAAGGAAGGAGAATAGCTTGAACCTCAGAGGCGGAGGTTGCAGCGAGCTGAGATCGCCCCACTGCACTCCAGCCTGATGACCAGAGCAAAACTCTGTCTAAAAAAAAAAAAAAAAAAATATATATATATATATATATACACACACACATATATATATACACACATATATATATATACACACACATATATATATATACACATATATATATACACATATATATATACACATATATATATACACATATATATATACACACATGGCACATGTCTCCATTTTTTAAAGATCTTTAATTTTTCTCAGTGATGTTTTATAGTTTTCAGTGCATCTCTTATACATAATTTATAAACTTTATCCGTAAATATTTCATATTTTCAATGTTTTACATGGCATACATAGTTTTTTTCTTTAACAATAGACTTAATATTTTTAAGAACAGTTTTAGATTCATAGCAAAATTGAGCAGAAAGTACAGAGTTCCTAAATTCATCCTGCTCCTTCATCCCCTTATCCTTCCCCACTGTCAGTATCCTAAGCCAGTGTGGTAGGTACACTGATGAACCTGCCTTGACACATTATTATTACCAGAGTCTGTAGTTTTCCTTAGGTTCACTCTTGGTGTTGTACATTCTCTGTGTTTTGACAAATGTGTAATGACAAATACCTGCCATTATAACATCATACAGAGTAGTTTCACTGCCTTAGAATTTTTCTGTGTTCTACCTATTCTTCCCTCCCTTACCCCAACCTGTGGCAACTACTGATCATTTTATTGTCTCCATAGTTTTACTTTTTTCAGAAATTAATTGACAGATATCATCATTATATGTTATTACTGTGTACAACATGGCATTTTGAAGTATATAGGCACTGTGGAATGGTTAACTCTAACAAATGCATTGTGTCACATAGTTAACTCTTTGTGGTAAGGGCACTTAACATCCACTCTCTACATTTTAAAAAAATACTACAGTATATTATTCTTAACCGTAGTCACATTGCTATACAACAGATCTCTTGAAATGTGTTCCTCCTATCTAAGCGTAATAATGTGTCCTTCATGTACAGGTTTCTGTGTAGACTCGTGTTTTCATTTTTCTTGGGTAAATGTCCAGGAGTAGAATGGTGGGGTTATACGGCTTGTTTGTCTTTTTATTATTCAGCTGTGAAAGTTCTTTACCTATCCTGGTCATCAGTTTTTTATCATCTATTTGTTTTCCAAATATTTCCTCTCAGCCTGTGGTTTGCTTTTTCATTTTATTAACATTATCTTTCAAGAAGTAAATGTTTCAGTTTTAAGGAAATATAGTTTATCTTTTTTTTTTTCCTTTTTATGTTTTGTACTCTTTGTGCCCTAAGAAATCTTTGCCTAGCCTAAGATCACAAAGGTTTTTGTCCTGTGTTATCTTCTAGAAGTTTTATAGTTTTAGGTTTTGGGTGGCTGGGGTGGGTGGCTGGGAGAATGAATGTCAAAGGATCCCTGCACCATTTGTTGAATTCCATTGCTATGGGAGAAGCTTGGTAGAAATGCCGGTGGATTTGTGGATAGAGTGATGGGTTGAGGAGGGAGTCCTCACCAGTGGTGACTCATGGGAAGCTTCAGAGGGAAGTGAGTGGGGCCTGGGGGTCAGGAGCTTCAGGAGTGGAGAGGGCAGGGAATAGTGGTTCAGAAAGTAGGGGCCGGGCATGGTGGCTCATGCCTGTAATCCCAGCACTCTGGGAGGCCGAGGCGGGCGGATCATGAGGTCAGGAGATCAAGACCATCCTGGCTTACACAGTGAAACCCTGTAGAGACAGGGTTTCTACTAAAAAATACAAAAAATTAGCCAGGTATGGTGGCGGGCGCCTGTAGTCCCAGCTACTCGGGAGGCTGAGGCAGGAGAATGGTGTGAACCCGGGAGGCGGAGCTTGCAGTGAGCCGAGATCGCGCCTCTGCACTCCAGCCTGGGGGACAGAGTGAGACTCCGTCTCAAACAAACAAACAAACAAACAAACAAAGAAACAAACAGAAAGTAGGGGAGCAAGCTGCCTAGAAACCTTGGTGCGTGCTGAGCTGTGTGGGGCCTCCCTGGAGGTGGGCGTAGTAACAGGCCTGCGTGTCGCTGGCTTTAGCAGCCCCGGCAGGGTGGATGCAGCCACGTGCAAAGTAGCAACTAGGTTCATTCTTAGAGTTAGGCTTTCACAGGCAGGGGTGAAGGAAAAATAGAAAGTTGCTTAGTAAATGTGCTTCTCTTGAATGGACAGTACTTGAGCTGAGGTCAAACCTCGAACAGCAGCAGAGGATAGACACTGACAAGGACTCTCCCGTCACCTCCCCTATCCATTTCCTTCCTTTCTGCTCCTTCTAGCTGCTCCGTTTTATGTCTCTTGCATCTTGTCAGCGTTGATTTATGCAGAGAAAAGCAACTATGACCATACTTCATCCTCCCCATCGTGTGTAACAGACTGGAGCATGTGGTGCACCATGTTCGGCACCTTGACTTTCGTTTTACCCAATAGCATATCCTGTAGCTCTTTCCTGTTGGTGGGAAAGAATATTTGAGAGTCATCTTAGTGATGGATAAAGGAAACACTTAATAGCAGTTTTTTCTGGATCGTAAAGTAATTTCTGAAACTCTCCTGTGTTTTCTAAGTTCCTCCAGTATGCATATGTTCCTTTTATCATTAGCAAATGGAATGAAATTCCCTTCTTTCAGCACATGTCCACTCTGTGCCGTCACTCTTCCAGGCACGGGGGATGGAGCAGTCAATAAATAGGCAGGCTCTGCTTCCATGGTGCTCGCATTCTCATGTGGGCTAATCATCCAAATAAGAAGATGAGAGATGAGGCTGAGTGCAATGCACAAGAGAATGAACGTAGGGGCCTGTGATGGTGGCTGACCACGGAATTTCAGGGCAGGCCTTCTCTGAGAAGGGAGCACTTAAGCTGATAGCTCAGTGATGAGAGCCAGTCATCGTGACCAGCAAAGAAGAGTGTGCTAGACAGAGAAGAGTGAGCGCAAAACCTCTGAAGTGAGAGTCAACTTGATGTTTTCAAGAAACAGCAATAAGGCCAACATGCCTAGAATCTACTGAGGGAGCGTGGCGTAAGATGAAGCAGAGGTCAGTGCTTATCTGGTAATCAGGGAGAAGAATGAGGATTTTGTTTTAACTGCAATGGGAAACCATTGAAGAGTTTTAAGTTATTAGAAAGGAGAGCTATAGAAAAAGCCAAAGTTGCCAGGTGGAAAAAGACCCTAGAAAGCCCAATTAGAGGCGAGTGTTAGGAAAACCCTGCAGTGTTGGACGCATCAGGTTAAATAAAGCTTAGGTTGAAAACAAAGAGAAGTGGTTTATTAATTTGTTTTTATGGTGCGCTCTAAAAAGTAATCTCCCTGAAATGGGAACTCCAAATTTAAAAGATAAATTTTAGATCAATGTGCAATTTAAATTCCAAACTGAGGAAAGCAGTTTTTAAAGATATGATTTCGGCTGGGCGTGGTGGCTCACACCTGGAATTCTAGCACTTTGGGAGGCCGAGGCAGGCGGATCACCTGAGGTCAGGAGTCTGAGACGAGCCTGGTGAACATGGCGAAACCCCATCTGCACTAAAAATACAAAAATTAGCCAGGCATGGTGGCATGCCCCTGTCATCCCAGCTACTCAGGAGGCTGAGGCAGGAGAATTGCTTGAACCCAGGAGGCAGAAGTTGCAGTGAGCCGAGATCATGTCACTGCACTCCAGCCTGGGCAACAGAGTGAGACTGTCACACACACACACACACAAAAAACAAAAAACAAAAACCACCAAAAAAAGATGTGATTTTTAAGTATGCATTTTAAAATTATTTTGTATTTTAGAGGAAGAAATTAGTATTTAGTCATTTGTTTCTTCTAGAATTTTAATGCTGATGCTGAGATTTTAGGAAACCTAGTGTTTAAATTACAGCTCGCAAATATTTCCTGATTCATTTAAAAATTACACCCTGGCTCTGAAATTAGCCCATTTGTGTTTGTTTTGCCTTTAGGAGATCCACAGTGTAGTTCTGGAGGGTGTGTAGAATATAAGGAAGGGGCACCCTCATTCTGTCTGATGTCTGAATATGGAGGAGACAGGTACTCACTCATCCTGTATGGTATTTCAATATTGTGGAGACAGGATGGCTACTGGCAGTTTTTGATAAGGAGGATAGTTTGCGCAGCTTTGAATAGGAAGCAAGATTAATGTCTTTGTTAGCCAAAATGAACAGTTAGATTTTTATTACAAAGTTGACCCTTGAACAATATGGGAGTTGGGGGCACAGACCCCTGTGCAGAAATTCATGTGTAACTTTTGACTCCCCCAAAACTTTACTAATAGCTTACTGTTGACTGTAAGCCTTACCAATAATGTAAACGGTCGATTAACACGTATTTCGTATATTATATGTACTATGTACTGTATTCTTACAATAAATTAAGTTAGAGAAAAGAAAATATTATTAAGAAAATCATAAGGAAGAGAAAATGTATTTCCTGGTCATTGAGTGGAAGTGGGTCACCATAAAGTTGTTGATCCTTGTCATCTTCATGTTGAGTAGGCTGGTTGGGGGGTTGGTCTTGCTGTCTCAGGGGTGGCAGAGGTGGGAGAAAATCCACATATAAGGGGGCATGTGTAGTTCAAAGCCATGTTGTTCAAGGGTCAACTGTATTGTTTGACAAGCGAGATGTTCTGAAATAAGAATAATAGAAAGTCATCATCCAACAAAAGTAATGACAAGAAGAAGAACAAGAACAGCAAGCTCTGGTGACCATTCAGGAGTGGAGGCAGTGTGACATAGTGGTCCAGCTCTGGTGATTCAGGAGTGGAGGCAGTGTGACATAGTGTCAAGCTCTAGTAACCATTCAGGAGTGGAGGTGGTGTGACATTAGCGGTCAAGTCTAGTGACCATCAGGAGTGGAGGCAGTGTGACATAGCAGCCAAGCTCTAGTGACCATCAGGAGTGGAGGTGGTGTGACATAGCGGCCAAGTTCTAGTGACCATCAGGAGTGGAGGCAGTGTGACATAGTGGCTAATCCATGTGCCTTGTAGGCACACAATCTTGGATTCACATCCTGGAGCAGCCTGTTAGTAGCCATGTTCTATTGGGTGGGTTACTTAAACATTCCAAATCTCATTTCCTCTTATGGAAAATATAGATCATAAATAGTACCCACATAACAGGGTAGTAGTGAAGATGAAGTGATCATCTATATAAAGATCCTAGTGCCATGTCTTTTGGCACCTAGAAAGTACCAAGTAAACAAGAACAGTAATACATTTAATATAATAATTATGATTTTGTTATCTGTTTTACTTATAAGGCAAGTATTCACATCACCATTTTTCAGATGAAAAACATACTTAGAGAACTCTAAATTTCCTAAGATCACAGAGCTAGGAAATGCAGTGGCAGGGTTTAAACTTATGAAGGTCTGACTCCAGAATTTATGCTTTTAATCATAACTCCATATTTTTTTCTAGCAAGGTCCTTCCAAGATTGGATCATTGGATTCATAATTAATTCAGAGTGTAAAACAATACATCGTAGAACAATTCCCTATTTTGCTTGTTAATCTAAAGATTTCACATTATATTCTACTTATTTTAAAAATAAAAAATATTCTAGAAGATAGTAACTTTAGAAAAATTTTAAAATGTAGATAAAAAATGTTTACAGATAAGATAAAAGAAAGATGTCACATATAATCCCATGAAGAATAATCCTTCCTGACTTCTACCGTGTGTGTGTGTGTCTGTGTGTGTGTGTCTGTGTGTGTGTGGAGTGGAGGCAGGAGTGTAGAGACGCACACACACATACACACACATAAATACATACGTACATAGATGTTGATTTCTTTTTCCAAAATGAGATCACACCATATATTCTGTGCTCTGATTTGGGTTTTCTCCCCAGCTTATTTTATTGTGAAGGTCTTTCCATGTCTGTTAACTTATCCTCATGGGAGCATAGTGTTGCATTACCTGTGTGTGCCATCATGAATTTACATAGTTCCCTGTTGTGACATTTAGATTGTGTAGAATTTTTCACTATTTTAACAGTGCTTTTATTAACATTCTTAATCACACACATCCATTTGCGTTTTCTCATAATTTCCTTAAGAGAAATTCCTGGAAGAACTGCTGTGTTGATTGTCACCTTTTTAAGCTTTTGATACATATTTCAGTTGCCCTCCAGAAAGGCTGTCCCAGCATGCACCCCTGCAGCAGCACGGACTGCCTCCTTCCCTGTGCCTGCATCTGCAGTGCATATTATCCTTTTTGATCTTTGGCAGACTGGTGAAAAATAGTTCTGTCTTGCATGCCTTTGATTACCAATGAATATATTTATGTTTATAAACTATTTGTACTTTTTCCATTATAAATTGCTCTTTAAAAATTCTTTGCCTCTTTTATCACGCCTGACCCCTGGGTTTTGGTTGGCCCAGAGATTACTGAACTACTTTCGACCCCAAGTTTTGCATATTTAAATTTATTTTTAGGGATTTCAGGTGAGCATCTTTAAAAAAATTAGATAATTAGGAGAAATGAAAACGGCTTGTATTAGTATACAAATAGTAATGTAGGTATTGGCATAAAACAAAACTTGCTTTAAGGACTCGCTCTAAAGACATGTCTTTCCCATTACATTACTGAATAGAGGTTTAACTTTGAACTCATTCTTATGAGTAGGGAATCATAAAACTCTGATCCCAAGTCCATCATTCCTTCTTCTTTGAGCATGAAATTCTCATCAGTCATTGGTTGTACTTTGGAACTACTGTATATTAGAAACCAATTCTCACTTTTCCGGGAGTATATTGTTTAAAAAACAAATTCAGATCCATCAGGATATGTTCTCTCCATTTTTACTTATAGTTAATTCTCTGCTGCTTTCCTAATTACTTTTGTTTCTTTTCTTCCAGTGGTCGGTTAGAATATAATTTATTTACGTGAGTGTTGCCTGATGGAAGATACTTTCTGGTGGTTCATTATAAAATACATTTTTTAATGTAAACTTCATTTTTCTATTGATTTCCATTGTACAATTGGAAACTGTAACTGTTAGTGAAAAATGGCGGTCTGTTGTTGAAGAGTTAGGATGGTAACTTGTTAAACTTCTACAGACTCCTGACTTGAGTTTTTAGGCCTTAACGAGCGGCAGAACTCGACACGCTTCTGAGTTCGCCTTCCTTCACTTCTTCTCTAAGTCCTTTCCTTGAGTGTCTTAACACTCATGCCTGCCCCCACTTAACATTTTTCCCTGACAGTCTCCTGCTGGGGCCATTTTGTTCTTGATCCCTTCTTCTGCCCTGCCACCCCCACTCCATATTTAAGATGCTAAAAGAATGTATTCTAAGCCTTACCTTTCTTGAAGCTCAGAGTTTCTTGTAATATGAAAAAAAATTGTTTCCTATAAAGCTATTAAGTTCTTATATTGCTTTCAGAAGTATAATTTTCATGACTTAGATTGTATGTATCTGTGATAGAAATTATTTTTGTATAAGGAAAGACAACGGAAAATTTTTAGTCTAGACATAACAGTTTATTTTTGCTAGAAATTAAAAATAGTAATACACTGTAGTCAGTCGTTTAATATACTTGTTCTTAAACTTTATTAGTTCACTTAAAAGTTTCCTATCATACAATATAAAATTCAAAGATTTTAAAATACATGTAGCTGGAAGTCTTGTTATTTCTTGTAAATCAGACTTGCATATGTGGTAGAATTTCTACTTCAAACAAAGGAAATATTAGTAATGATGGCTATTTCATTATTGAGATCTGTGTGCTAAGCATATATTAATTGTTCCTAAAACCAGATATTCTTACAGAAATATTTATTGGATTAAAGAAATATTTACTGGTTAAAATAAATAAATTGATAGTAAATTTTCTCTGAATCTAAATTGATGACAAATAACTGCTGCTTTTTTTTTTTTTTTTTTTTTTTTTGAGACGGAGTTTTGCTCTTGTTGCCCAGGCTAGAGTGCAATGGTGTGATCTCTGCTCATTGCAATCTCCGCCTCCCAGGTTCAAGTGATTCTGCTGCCTCAGCCTCACAAGTAGCTGGGATTATAGGCATGTGCCACCATGCCTGGCTAATTTTTGTATTTTTAGTAGAGACAGGTTTTCTCCATATTGGTCAGGCTGGTCTTGAACTCCCAACCTCAGGTGATCTGCCCACCTCAGCCTCCCAAAGTGCTGGAATTACAGGCGGGAGCCACCGCGCCAGGCCAACGATTGCTATTTTGACATGACATTATATGCATGACAGCCTGAGAAGTAAAAATTCATACATTTAATGAATTAGATTTTAATTTCTTTTACTAAATATGTGAATTTTAGATTAAGAAATATTGATTAACTATCCAAATATTTCTAATATTTGTTCATCACTTAAAATAAACATGATTTGTCTTTTAGCCAGATGATATATAGTGGGAAACCACGTTTCTGAAATTCACAGTTATTTCAAAACTATAAATTTAATCGGGACGCTTTTCACATGTCAAGTTAAATATTGATTTAGGTTTAAAGTGACACAAGTTGAATTTCATTATTTATATTAAAGAAAGTCAGCGAAATTTCCATAATTAAAGTTTGTTCTTCCTGGCATTCTTTTCTAATTTTTCTTTTTTTAACCTGCAAAGTTTCCAGTTTACCAGTAGAGGGCACTGTTGTAACATGGTAGAAGTGTTGGGTTGATTTTTTTTTTTTTTTTTTTTCTTTCTTTCCCAGTAGCTACCCGCTCCTCCGCCTTTGCAGTTTGGAAAGTGTTTTTTAAAAGCAATGTTCTCTGTGTAATTAAAATCAGTTCCCTGTATAATTAGCAATGGAGCCTTATTCTTTGTGGCAGAGTTTGTGGATGGCGTTATTATTTAAGTCTGTGTTCGTGTATAGCCAATGCCAGAACTGTTGCCTATTAAAATATAGGAAGTTATATTGCCGTTTATCAGCACTAAGCAATATTGTAGATGGAAATATATAAAATTACAGTATGTTTCATTTAGGTGCTCTGAGCAAATTACTCAATGGGGAACGTTTAAAACTCCTGGTTCTATCTTGAGAAATAGCAGAGTTAATGTGCCATAGTTATAATATCTTGCTTTCAGGTGCCCTGAATAATAATACAGGACAACTAATTCTTGCAGGGTTTTCAAAACTATATCTGCATTAGTGTACTGCTTAAGAAAGCCACTGATCTACTTAGCAAATTCTTTATATAATTTCTTTTTCACGCTGCCTTAAAATCATACAATTTTGATACAGATATCAAACTACTAAAATAGTATTAAAGCACAATTAAAGTTATTTCTTTCTTTCTTAAAAGACATATATGTTATATAAAATAACATTAAATGTGCATTCATTGCCTGGCTGCCTTGGGAAATATTTGGGGGCAGGGAGTTTAGAGAGAATCCAAGCCTGAATTTTGAGTTGTCAGAGGTGTAATTCATGAAGTTATAATTTATCCATAAATCCCAAAGTCTCTATAAGTAGTTTAAAAACAAACAGAAATCTTATTTCAAGACTAAATTATAGATTATTTGCTATACAATTTTTTGGAACTGAAAAAATTAAAAGTAATAATTTAATATGTTTATAATTAATTTCATTCTGTGCTTTAATATTTGTAAAATATTTGAGAATCTGGAATCTTAGGGTTTTTAAATCTTTAATCGATAGCCATATCAAATTAGGGAATTAGTATTTTCTTCAAGATTTTTTTTTTCTAACTTTATGAAATACTCTAGCTAAAAAGTTGGCTCTGTTGAAATTGTGTTTCTCTCTAACAGACCTATTTTAAAAGGTGGAAAACGGCTTTCATTGACTTACTTTGTATCCACAGACTTAGGAAAGCAGGTAATTTAATGTTTACTTAGTGATTTACTTTGACAATAAAAATGTAGGGTAAAATTTGAGAGATGAACGAGATGGTTGAGGAACCTGTCATGTAATTTTAGAAAAACATTTAGGAATATCTTTTATGCATTAGTCACTGCAGGTGCAAATTTAGAATAGTTTAGTAGAACTGGAACAAAATGTCATTTTCTAAATCTAAGTTTCTTTGGTGTTATGGATGTCCCCAAGGGAAGACATCCGAGTTCTCCCCCCCCCCCCGTCAAAAGGGGGTGTCGAATTTGAGGGGAGTCCCCCACTCCCTTGTCCTTAGGGTACGTCATAAAGCAGATGGGACCAGGTATTTTGAAGAATCAGCCAAATAACAGAAGGACATGACAGAGGCTGTCCTAGTTCCTTGATTAAAATGTGTAAGGTTGATTAGAGAAAAGAACTTAATGCTGTTTATAGATAGAAAACTGTTGCTTTCTCATTTCTTATTACCAAAGTGAGACTGAAACAAATGTTGATTCTGTTGGCACATTTGTATTGAGCACTTAGGTTCCCTGTATCATCTTGGTCATGATTACCGCTGTGTTTCCCCTCGAGAGGCCATTGCAGGTTTTAGTCTGGGCTATTTGTATTCAGCAAGGTCAAGATAAGTTTTATCGTTACAGATAAGTCAAGTGCATTAGGATCAATAGGTAATAGTAAGTGCATTGAAGATATTATTGCCAAGCTCTTAATGATTTTTTAAAGCTGTGAGCTTGTCATATAAAATATACCTCTTATTGTTTTATCTATCTGAATGGAGCTCAGGAGTCCAATTAATTTTGCGGACATTTCAAGAAAGAGTAAAGAAACTTAAGGGCAGATTAAAGCAATGTTTTTGGAAATCCTTAATTGCTCTGCATTTAAACTTGTACTGATGAAGTTTTAGAGGCTAATTATTTTTAAAGAAATGCAAAAGGACAGCTAGTAGACAGCATTTATAAATTACAAATATTACTTGAGTTTACTTGTTAAGACAATCATTTTTTGAAGTTATATATATCTTACCCCTGGGCTTTCCTGCATAAATCAGATTTCTGCTTCTTCAGGTGGGGAATAGTGTGGAAAAAAAGACCTTTTATACTTACCAAGGGATGATGGTGAGTATTTCATTATTTTAGAATTTCTGTTCTGGCCTAAATATATAAATAAGCTCTATAAGCTCTATATATTTAAAGCCAAAAATATCCTAAACATTTTCATGATTTTTTTTCTTTTTTACTGAAAGGAATAGTTTTTATGGATTATATTAATTAATATATTAAAAATATGGACTCTAACAGATATGTTTTGTCTTAGTTTTTTTTTTCAGTTAATTTTCTGTGGCCCAAAACATGACCACAACATTAGGTGAAATGTAGATTGCATTTCTTTTCTTTTCTAGGTGCAGATTACATGGAAAACTTTTTTCATCGATTTCTTAGCTGTATGTATCATGTAACTGTTCAAAACACATAAACTAAAGAAATTATGTATTGAGCTCGGGTTTTTTTCCTTCTTCAGTACAGCCATTTTAAAAAATCCTTTCTAAACTTTTTAGACTTCTAGTTTGGAATGTTGTGGTGCCTGCTTGCATTTGTGCTTCTTAATCCTTCAAAATGTGCTGTTTTTCTTTTGATACTCAATTATAGATAGCAGTTTGTAGGTTTTCCTTGTTTTAAGTGAAGCTTTCTTATCTTAGCTGATAATTGAAATAAGGAGACTGAAACCAATCTTCATATTGATTTTATGTATTCTTTATCAGTCACTATTTATATGGTAGTAAATAATCACCATTGCTGTCATAATTGTTCCTCCTCGATATTTTTTTTCTGTCTCCATACATTGTTTATTTATTTAACCATTTAAGTTGCAGGTAATATAAGCATGTGACATCCTTTCTGGAAATTGTAAACTTTTTTTTTAAAGTCCTATAAATGACGTTCTTTGAGCCTTTGGCTTATTAATCTTTATAATATTGGTCTACATTTCCACCTACTTAGCCATTTCTCTTTCTGGCTGAATAGTGATAATTTTTCCTCAACATTAGGTCAATTTATTTTATTGCTGGATTAGATTGATTGTGTTATAAGAAAGAGAAAACCAAGAGGTACAGAAGGATGTGTGGAAACCTCCACTGAAAACGGATGCTGTCCTTCCAGAGCCAGCGGGCACGAAGGGGTTGTTGGCCTCCAGTTGAAAAGTAGCATGAAAGAGAAGTTGACTGCCTCTTTTCAAAAGTTATCTTTGTGTGGTGGTCCTAATGCAATATTAAGAAAATTAGAGCTTTAAAAACCAGAACAATGGTCCTTTTAAAATATATCTAGTTTAGTGAATTTACCCCCCAAAGCCTCTGGTGTCTAATTACTCAAAAAGGAAAAGAAAGAGGAGAAATCTTTACTAGCAGAAAAATAAATTGCAAAAAGTGGCAAGTTTTTACTTTTATGGAAAACATTTTAATTCTGTTTTAATCCAGAAGGCAATAAAAGCAGCAAATTTTAAGAGTATTCATTTTTTTCTTGTACGACTAATTTTACCGACAGAAAATAATTGAACTCCAAACAAGTGATAGTAATCTTATATTACTATTAAACTTTTATTTTATTTATTTTTCTCTTTAAGTTTTTTTATCATACTATTAAACTTTTAAATTTATATTTATAAAAAGGAAGTTTGTTTTCCTCCTTTTTACTTATAATTTATCTTGTCTGTATAATAAAGGGAGACGCTTAATGACCAAAAGAACAAATCTGTACATAGATAAATTAATTTTGTGCGGTGTTTTATATTTTTCTTTTCTTTGTTCCCAAATAGTGATGAAATCGACTATTTTAGTAAGAGAAAGACTGGATTATTGTTTAGGGTTAATTTTCTGAAATATTGTGAAGCAGTTTTTAAATTTAACAAGATTAATTATTACCTGAAAGCAATACTTTAGCTTCACATTTAGAGGTCCTCGTATTTCAGACTGTGGGCCTGGTTTTCTCTAAAATTAATTAGGAACCCTTGTAAAGAGGTATTTTCAATGAAATGGGCCATAAGCAGGTATTTTAAAGTACATATTGTTTTCTAAAAGTTTTCTTGTTGGTTTTATAAGAATCGAATATGAAAGAACAACTTATTTATTGTAGCAGGAGTTCCTGTAATGCTGTTTTTGGAAATGAGTTTATTGTCCACATAGGAGAAAGAGGAGAGAGGCAGTCTTACCTATTCCTGTAGGTGAGCACCGTATACAGAATCACGGGGGTCAGTGGTTATGTGACAGTTTGTGTGTTTACTCAGCTTACTTGAAAATACAGCTATATTGTCCTAAAAGTCAGGAAAGTTCTTTGACTTAATTATCTTTATCTTTGGAGCATAGCCAAAGTCATTATTTCCACTGAAGTTGTCATCTGTGCTTTACATTTTCTTCCATCTATTAAAACTATTTTTCCTCTTCCCCCAGCAGATTGTTGAAACTTTGGGAAGTGCATGATTCTTCCTCCAGACTCTTTTCTTGTACTAGAAATAGGACAGTGCCAGACCTATCACTTGTACTTTGATTTGCTGCCTTTATCTTTAGCAAATCTAAATAAAACTGTCATCCTGATTTTCAGATCTCTCTTTGAACTTCCTTTACTCAAATTGCCCACTTTCCTATCTGCTCACTACTTTTTTTTTTTTTCCTAATGGAGATTCCACGTCTGAGGTTTATTTTTTACGCTGTTACTGTCCTTTCTTGGATTTTTAAAATACTTTTTACTTTATAACTTATCTGTTACTTCCTTTTGGTAAACACAAATTTAGGTGATAATTACTTAGCTTAAGTGAGAAAATTGTCAGTCTCCATGAGTCTTTAGAAATAATTTATACTGATTTCATAATTTCTAAAAAGCTACCTGACTTTGTGACTTTGGGGATCATCATTAAGGACTGAGGTGGCAAGAATGGTGGTATGGAAATCTGGGAGGTTTTTCTTCTTTCATATTTGAGTGTATTTCACATAATAATTTCTCAATATTTTACAAACTGTGTAAAATAAGTAGATACATTTCTTAGCCCAGAATAGCCCACAAATATTTAATGAAAGTTGGAATTTCTTGTTCAGTTCTTTAAGACACATAGAAAAAATTGTCATAGAAAGCACCTTGTTATTTAATTCCTAAATATTTAGAATATGAATAAGAATGTAATGAGAATATGGCATTTATTGTTAGAATTTTCCAATATTGCTTTGATATAATGAATAATATAAATGCTTTCCCTTTATCATTATCTTGTAGTAAGAGAATTTAAGAATTTTAGAGGTAAAGTGCCCTCTGAGATTACAACCCTACTATTTAAAAAATAAGACAACTGAGACCCATTGTGATGAAGTGACTTGGCCAAGATCTTAAAAGCTCATTAGTGACAGACATATAGAGTGAGGTTTCTTGGTTCTTACTCCATTTTTTTTAACCACATGCTCAATTCTGTGTCCCTCTCTCTCCTTCTAGTACCGTTTATACACCGTGTGTGTTATTTTGAGAAGGGACTAGTTAATTTCTATACTGTAACGGCAATTCAGATCTCAAATACATTGGAGCTAATGTTTCTGTCACCTTACCTGTCACAGTGTCCTTTGAGTAGACGCGTACTTTGCAACTTGGCATTTATTCAGTAAACATTTTTTTTAAGTATGTACCATGTGCCTCTGGCGTGCAAAATAATAGGGAACGGGTATTATGCATCTGACCTTCCTGTGTTATTAATTCTAAAACATGATTTTTAAAACAATACATTTAATCATATAGATGTACCCAGGAGCAGATCCTGATTTTGTGAGGCCTAAAGCTTGTACAATTTTGGGAGCCTTTTTAAAGAAAGTAATATAAAATAGCAAATGCAAAAGCAGATTCAAAGGCCTGTCAGTAGTAGACTGGGTAAATAGATTGTGAAATATTATATAGCAATGAATAAAAGGCTCTCCAACTGCACACAGTGTGAAAAACATCTCTCCTCCATTGAATTGAGTGAAAGAATCCAGGCCCTCAGAGCACTTCTGCTCTTAGAAGACTGGCTGTGGTTGCCTTGGAGTATTGGGCCTGAGGAGGGAGGGGTGACGGGAGGAGTAAGGGTACAGGTGATGTTCTCTGTCTTGATCTGAGTGTGTTCAGCTTGTGGAAAGTCATCAGGCCACACACTTAGGGTATATTAACTTTGTATGTGTTTATTATACTTTAACAAGGGTATTTAAATCAGCTATATTGGAAGGGAGTCCTGTAAGTGAGAAACCCAGAGGCCACTAGCTTATAGGAAATTCCCTCTCTAGATGCACTATAATTAATTCAACCAATGTATGTATGTATGTATGTATGTATGTATGTATGTATGTATGTATGTATGTATATGAGACAGAGTCTTGCTCTGTTGCTCAGGCTGGAGTGGAGCGGCATGATTGGGGCTCACTGCAACCTTTGCCTCTGGATTCAAGTGATTATCCTGTCTCAGCCTCCTAAGTAGCTGGGACCACAGGCACACACCACCACACCCAGCTAACTTTTGTATTTTTAGTAGAGACAGGGTTTCCCTATGTTGGCCAGGCTGGTCCGGAACTCCTGACCTCAAGCAATCCGCTCACCTCAGCTTCCCAAAATGCTGGGATTACAGGCATAAGTCACCGCGCCTGGCAAATTCAACCAATTTAGTGTTACTACACATTTAGGCTCTTTCCAATACAGATATCTTTTTGAAGCTAAGAGTTTAAAAATTTATAATTTTATGAAATGTTTAATATGGCCATGTTTAGAGGTTTTTTTGAAGTGTTATTTTAAAATAGTAGATTAATAAGACATTTATATGTTCTATTTGCCCTTTTTATTTTGAGAGATTATACCTTTGTCATAAAATTACTTTCACCAATTATAGTTAAACTGTATGGTAGATTATTAATTACAAACTTACCTATGAAAGATTTTTGGAACTGTACACTATTAATGAAACGTAACTATGGTTTCAGTTGGTAACATACTCATGCATAATTGATTATATATTTTATCTCATAAGGTTTTGAGTCAGAACTATTTTTATTATACATGAAATGAAATAATGACACCCACCCTCATCTTTGTACAAGATTAAAAGGAACAACAGTGAACTGTCTTATTTGGAAAATGACATGGCATTATTTTAGAAAACATTTAGAAATTTATTATACTAATAAGCCCTAATATGGACTCCTGAAATACAAAGTGTAAACACCGGCTCTTTTTGTAAGACAATTCAGACAGCATAGAAATGACGGGAGATGGTTTTTAGGATATTTAGTATTTCTTCTCTACCTATTGGGTAACTCACTTTATTCATCTGATGGGCCATAGTTATTTACCTTTCTGGATTTATGGGTGGCTTTTAAAATATTGTTTTGATTTTGGCCTTGTTTCTTAGTCTTGTAGACTTGTATCATTAAAAATAATGATGCAATTAAATAAAATACATATTTGGATTTTTAACATTCAGTATTCAAATTCCAAGTATGTATTTTATTTCCTAGTTTGGGAGAAACAAGACCTAGTAAATGAAATAAAACCTGGCTGGGCACGATGGGTCACAACAGTAATCCTGGCAACTCTGGGAGTCTGCAGCAAGAGGAGCACTTGAGCCCAGAAGTTTGAGACCAGCTTGGGCATATGGCAGAACCCTGTCTCTACAAAAAATAGAACAAATTAGCTGGCCACCCCAAAAATATAACAAATTAGCTGGCCTTGGTGGCATGCACCTGTAATCTCAGCTACTCAGGAGGCTGAGGTGGGAGAATCACCTGAGCCCGGGAGTTCTAGGCTGCAGTGAGCTATGATCACTCACTGCTCTCCAGCCTGGGTGACAGAGTGAAACCTTGTCTCGGAAAAAATAAAAAATAAAACTCAAGTAACTTACTCCTTAGACTTTTTGGGGAAATAACTTTGATTTATCAGAGTGCCTTCATTTGACAGATTTTTGCACATCTGAAAACAAAAACTATTTTTGAATTAATATGATCACTTGTTATGAGATTTAATATATTAGGTGGTAGTCTGGAGGGAATTGGTGGATGTGAGAAATAAGAAATATGCAGCTATCCTGACTAGCACCCTGAGAAAACAGTGTGCCACAGTATTGAAGAGAAGTGAGCCACAGTTAAGTAACAGAAACCTGTATTGGAATTTTCTTAGACTACCCCACTCTCTGCCTGTATGATAGACATAATCCTGCTGACGTTGTTTCCTTTAAGGGCCATTTCTTATAAATGCATTTATATTCCTAGAATAAGCTACTCTACACAGTACATGTTGTATCTTTCCATGCCTTTAAGTCCCTCATCTAGGTGGATTTTTTTTTAGTAGTTTCTATTCTGACCACCAAGGTTATCAGATTCAACTCCTTACCTACTCATCACTAAGCCATTTACATTGTAATTTGGCAAAGATTAGTCTTGATGATGCGTGCAACAGATGTATATTTAAACGATATACCTACTAATATTACCATATCTAATTTTCTGCTAATCCAGCACATCTGTGTTTAGAGGAACAAACAGAAATAAGAGAGAAATGATTCACATTACAAAAGGATTCTCTTAGCCCAAGCATGGTGGCTCATGCCTGTAATCCCAGCACTTTGGGAGGCTGAAGCTGGAGGCTGATTTGAGCTCAGGAATTGGAGACCAGCCTGGGCACCATGGGGAAGCCCCGTCTCTACAAAAAATACAAAAATTAGCCAGGTGTGGTGGTGCATATCTGTAGTCCCAGCTACTTGGGAGGCTGAGGCAGGAGGATCACTTGAGTCCAGCAGGTCAAGATTGCAGTGAGCCATGAGTATAACTAACACTGCACTCCAGCCTGGGCTACAGAATGAGACCCTGTCTCAAAAAAAAAAAACAAAAAAAAAACCCACAAGCTCTTTTAATATACTGTTTTCCCACCATGTGTCGCAATACTTTACTGTATCTTGAGAATCTTCAGTTATATTTCAATATCCTAGGTTCCTAAACCTTAAGATATGCCTTTAATGCCGCCTCCAAGTCAGCAGTATACGAAAACTTCAAAATTCTCTTTAAAAGGACAATAGTTTAATCAAGTAAAAGACATTTGTCTCTCAGACACACACATACACACAAACACACACACACACACACACACACTAGATAGCAGGTTTAGTATAAAATTTAGCAATGAAGCTGGAACGTAATAAGTTTTTTATATCAAATAGGTATATGTTTTACAAATAAAAAGAGCAAGACACCTTCTATTTCTAGGGGGCCCCTTGAAATTTGATAGAGTAACAATCATGCATTTAGATGTAATGAAAAAATTGACCTAGAGGAAGCATGTTAGCATTCAGCTGGTAGAAGTGATGTGTAGCAGAAAGAGCTGTGACAGAAGAGCTTTCCAGCTTGAGTTCTCCTTCCAACTTTCAATTTCCTTTACTGTGTAACTTTGGAGGAGTTGCTTACCTTCTCTGTGCCCTAGTTAACGCATTAAAAAGAAAAGGATAACTGATTTTTGTGATTCTTGAGCAGAGATAATTTCACCAGAGACTTTATATGTTGGTGGACTTCCACACTGGCTGTTCTTGTAAATTCACCAGCGTGTCCTGGAATCAGTAATATAAGGAACTAGTAAGTGCAGTTAAACAGGTGTCGATTGGGCACCTACAGTGAGTTCAAAACTGAACTGAGCAGAGTTGATTTGTCTGTGAGTTTTCATGAACACAGCTATTTCCTATACTGATGCATTATAAATTGTACTGAATTATGGGAAAACAATTATAAATTTCAAGATGTTTTCTTATTCAAATTTTGGAAGGTTTTATCTAATCTGTGGCTTAGTGCAGAGATCATCTTATTGGAGACCGTCAAGCATCAATCTTAGCATGTTAGATTTGGAAGTTTTGGTCAATCTAACGTGTATTCCTCATTTACAACATGTTTGTGCAAGACATACATATACTTCACAGTCCTTGCCTCTGAGAAGTCAGTCTCTCAATAGGATCTTAGAGGTCATCCAGTCCATCTACCTCATTTTATAACAGAGGAAATAATTGTTACAGGGATGAGAAAAGGAATCTTCAGAAGTAAGAAATGAGAGGGAGAAGTTTGGTCGTTAAAAAAAAGAATGTGTTACAATTAAACCTAGGATGATGGAAAGCCCTTGAAAGGTTTTAGGGAAATAACATTGTAACCACAGGAAAAGACACGTAGGTTTATTGGATGAAAATTACTCAGGGGTATACTTGGACTCAACATAAGGAAGAATTCTCCAACAGTCAGTGTCTAAAGGTGGAGTGCTCCTATCAGAAGGCAGTGAGCAGTAAGATCACTCCCTCAATGAGCAAGCTTTGCAAAGTGATCACTTGATGAGGGTTTTGTAGAATGTAGTACGTAACCACTGGGGTAATACACCTGGGCTTTATTTTTTCCTTTGTAATAATTTCAGACTTACAGAAAAGATACAAGAATAGCACAAAGAATTCCTAAGTATTCTTTACGTAGATTCCCCAAATGCTAACACTTTACATCGTTTGCTTTTTCTGTGCTGTTTCTATGTAGATACATGTTATTTTTTGTTTCTGAACTGTTTGAAACTAAGTTGCAGACATCATGCTCCTTTGTCCTTAAATATTTCAGTGGGTACTTTCTAAAAGTGAGTGGCTTCTCATATGTAACAGAACAGTTATCAAAATAAGGAAATTAACATTGATACAATACTGTCATCCAATCCACAAGCTACACTGAGATTACATCAGTTGTCCCAGTGATACCCTCCGTAGCAAAAGGAAAGGACAGTTTGTCTGGTTGTGTTCAGTTAGGAGTCCCGTGGTGCATTCAGTCAGCCTTTCTCTTTAGTTCTTCAATCTAGAACAGTTCCTCAGCCTGTCTTTGCCTTTCATGACCTCACCACTTTGGAAGAGAACAAACTAGTTATTTTGTTAAATGTCTCTCCATTTGGGTTTGTCTGATATTCCTCATCAAATTCAGGGTGATTATTTTCATCAGAAATACCGTAGACGGTGGTGTGTTCTTCTAATGCCTCATGTGATGAGTCCTGTGATACTGATTTGATGGTAATTTTATTTGGCTAAAGTGGTGACTTCCAGATTTCTCCATTGTCAAGTTATTACTTTCTCCTTTGTCATTGATAGCTATCTGGTGGAGAGATACTTTGAGACTATGTAAATACTCTGTTTCTCATCAAACTTTTACCTACTAGTTTATCATCCATTGGTGATCTTTACTCATATTAATTATTCCTAATAGTTGCTGGATGGTAAATTTCTAATTCCATTCTTCCTTCTACATTTATCAGTTGGCATTCTACTCTATGGAAGATTTTCCCCTCCTTCCCACTTATTTATTCATGTATTGATATCCGCAGACACTTATTTTACTCAGTATATTATACTCTTAGTCCATTTTCTGTTGCTTAGAATACCTGGGTAATTTATAAAGAAAGGAATTTATCTCTTATGGTTATGGCAGTTGGGAAGTACAAGGTAGAGGGGCTACATCTAGTGAGAGCCTTCTTGCTGGCGGGGAGAGGGGACTCTCAGAGTCACCAGGCAACGCAGGGCATCACATGGCAAGGGGCTGAGCATGCTAACATGCTTGCCCAGGACCCTCGTCTTCTTAGAAAGCCACCAGTCCCACTCCCATGATAACCCATCCATCTGTGAGTGGATTAACCCAGTGACAGGAGCAGACCCCTCATGACCCAGTCACTTGTCAACTGCCCCGCCTCTCAATACTGCCACACTGGGGACTGGGTTTCGACATGAGTTTTGGAGGAGGCAAACATTCAAACCGTAGCATACTCCTTTACTGTTATTATTTATTTCACTGCTTCAGCTGTACCCGGTTTGGCCCCTGGGAGCCCCTCAAGCTCCCTCCTATGTCCTTAGGCATGTTGTCATTGTTCTTTGGACAGTCCCTTACTTTCTGGCCCAAGAAGATGATCTAGGCTCTTCTTGTACTTCCAGCTTTAGCCCTGGAAGCAGCCGTTTCTCCAAAGAGCTCTGCCTCCTTTTTTTTTTTGAGATGGAGTTTTGCTTTTGTTGCCCAGGTTGGAGTACAGTGGTGCCATCTCGGCTCACTGCAACCTCTGCCTCCTGGGTTCAGGCGATTCTCCTGTCTCAGCCTCCCGAGTAGCTAGGATTATAGGCGCCCGCCACCATGCCTGGCTAATTTTTGTATTTTTTAGTAGAGATGGGGTTTCATCGTGTTGGCCGGGCTGGTCTCAAACTCCTGACCTCAGGTGATCCACCTGCCTCGGCCTCCAAAAGTGCTGGGATTACAGGCGTGCGCCGCTGCGCCTGGCCTGCCTCCTTTTTTTGAAGAATAGAGTCTAGAATCCAGGGCACTAGGACTGGTCATTGCTATTACAATGTCATTGCTTTTAGTTCACCTTAGCAGAGCTAGGGTGCATTTATCCATATCCATACATACATCTATGTCTATTTCCATAATAATATTTCCATATGTATTAAAAGCATGATTTCATATTAATAATTCCAGTTCTGATTTAATATCATACAGCTCACTATCTGTGTAATTCTAGAATATACAGAAAACAGTTTCAGAATTGCTAACCCATACCAATATATCTGGAGTTTAATTTTTGTTCAGTTTTTTTTTTTTAATTTGTAGTTTGAAAGTATATAGTCAAAACTTTGTGTTCACAAGATACTTGGAAGGGCTGAGGGTGGGGAATGGAGTATGGGGAGTAATTGCTTAGTGGCTACAGAGTGTCTGTTTGGGTTGATGAAAAGTTCTGAAAATAGATAGTGGTGATGGTTGCATGACAGTGTGAAAATAATCAAGCCACTGAATTGCATACTTAAAAATATTTTAAATAGCAAATTTTATGTTATATAAATTTTGACACACACACACACACACACACACCCCCACACACACACAAAGTGACTAATTCCTTCCCCTACCCCCAGTGTAGTTAGTGAGGTTATTTATTTGAAATATAGTTAGATTCGTTTATTTCCATTTATATTTCTTTTTTAGGCTTTCCTCTCATGCTTGAGTTTTCTTATGTAAAATATTAATATGGCTCCAAAAAAGTCAGAATTATACAAAAAAGGTATATTCAGAGAAGTGTTGCTCCTGCATTTTGTCTGCCCCATTTCCCTCCTCACCGAATCCTTTCCACTTGGCCCCATCCACTGCTGTAGGCAACCAGTCTCATTAGTTTCTGCTTTATCCTTCCTGTCTCTTTCAGATTTATTTTCTCCTTTGCATCTATATTCAATTATCCATGTTTCTAATTCAAATGCTTCTTTCTGTGCCTTTTTGTTACTTTCCACACAGTCTTCATTATCTCCCAAATAATCAACCTTTCTTCCTTACAGGGATAAACACACACATGTTCTCTCCTGTCAGCTAATGCCTTAGTTTCACCACCATCTTTTCTCTAAATGGAGGCTCCTTGAGCTGACCCATCACTCTTTGTGGGTGCTTGCCTTCATGTTATTATTTTTGATTACCTGTTTTTAGGGTTTTAAGTTTGGAGAATCCCATTTGGGCCACATCTTCCTCTGTTGATACTTTTTTTTAATTACGTTTTTTGAGACAGTCTCAATCTGTTCCCCAGGCTGGTGTGTAGTGGCGCGACGATGGCTCACTACAGCCTCAACCTCCTGGGCCCAAGTGATCCTCCTGCGTCAGCCTCCCAAGTAGCTGGGACTACAGGGGTCCACCACCATGTCTGGCTAATTGTTTTTTGTAGAGATGTGGGGGGGTCTCACTATGTTGCCTGGGCTGGTCTCAAACTCCTTGGTTCAAGTGATCCTCCTGCTTTGGCCTCCCGAAGTGCTGGGTTTACAGGTGTAAGACACCACACCTGGCCCTGTTGACACTTTGAGATGAGTCAGCCACATTAGACATAACCAGCCGCTCCCTAATGTTTACCAAGTGTTTCATTCCCTTCTGAAGGACTGGCATGACCTGGTCCTTCTCCAAACCCCCTTCTGCATGTTCTTCATTTTCTTTCTTTCTCTCACCTCTGTCCTTTATTACAATTCTTCCATATTTGCCTTTATTTTTTAATCATGAATATGTAACTATTTTTTTCTTTACACAAAATATATAATAACCAAAGAAAAGTTTGGTTTTTGCATTTATAGACCTGGCTTAAAAATTCTAGCTTTGCCACGTTGTGGCTATATGACATTGTGAAGACCTGTGATCTGAAATTTCTTTATCAGTTAGATGAGGGTAATAATATCTCATGGGGTTAGTGTAAAAACTAAGTGAAATAACATATATACATCATAGCACATAGCTGACATCCAGTAAATAGTAAGTCCCTTCCCATTTGCACACCTTACTCCTAATACGCATTTTAACCTCAACACTTATAACATGACCTCTGCCTTCAAGAGAGATGCACTTTCGTATTTCTGTACTTGTGTAAGCCTTATTCAGGAAGCAAAACTTATGCTTACAAAATTAATAGAAAAAATATAGACTAATCTTGAATTGGAAAAATTTTAAATACCATCTCTAAGAGTATCTTTAAATTTTATTTGAAATGTTATCTTTTATATTTAAGTGATAAGAGCTAGTTAAGAGGGCCAGGCACGGTGGCTTACACCTGTAATCCCAGCACTTTGGGAGGCTGAGGCAGGCGGATCACGAGGTCAGGAGCCTGAGACCATCCTGGCTAACATGGTGAAACCTCGTCTCTACTAAAAATAAAAAAAATTAGCCGGGCGTGGTGGCAGGCACCTGTAGTCCCAGCTACTCGGGAGACAGGCAGAGAATTGCTTGAACCCGGGAGGTGGAGCTTGCAGTGAGCCGAGATCGCACCACTGCACTCCTGCCTGGGTGACAGAGCCAGACTCTGTATTTAAAAAAAAAAAAAAAAGAAAGAAAGCTGGTTAAGGAAATGATGAGGAAAACTGAATCTAAAGCAGTTTATGAACTGATGCTGTAGTTGAAGGGGTTGTTGTGTACAATCGTTGACCTGTGAACCCAGCTTGAAATGTTGCTTAGGAAATTTTTGCAAGTGTGGAAAGAACTTTTTGTGATTGCAAAGAGTCAAGAAAGGCTTTATCCTTACCATCGAGAGACTCCGGATGTAGCTCTTCTCTCTTTTTCTCTGTTTCTTTTCTTTTTCTTTCCCCACTTCTGCTGCTTTTAGGGAAAGGAAGCCGGAGATGAGAGAGCAGAGTAGATGAAAATGCAACATAAGACTTTCCTAGTGATAAGTGTGAACTGTTTAGGCAAGATGAATTGACTGCCTGGGACTAAAACAGATAAGAGCCGCTGGGAGTGTTTTGATGCTGAATCATCTGAAGTCTGAGAACAAACCTCAAGAAAAGGCTTCAATCCAAGCTAAAATCGGGGGGGATAAAGGAAAGTTAAGGATAGAGAAGAAGATCCCTGGTTATACCTTTTGGTTTATTAAAATCCTTTATAATTTTAATTGGCCACTTAAAAAAAAAAACACCAAAACAAATTATAGAATTGGAAAAGTGAAGCATTGGAAGCTTTTCTGAGCTCCAGGCCAGGGATTCCAGCTCCAATCCACAGACCAGCAATATCAGAATAAGTCGAGGAACTTTTTTAATGGAACTTTCCAAGCCCTTGAATTCATATTTAAAGTGCCCCTGCCACCACCGCCATTGTGGTGAATGTCACCCATCTGTCCAGCTTAGGTTCCCTTGCTCTGCAGCCAGCCGTCAACTCTCATCCCCAGCTCTTTCTCTCCACTGGCTCATTCTTGTCGCCTGCAAGCACACTCAGATCTCTCCCATATGAAACGTTTAAAGTTTTTCCTGAACGCTGTCTTCCTCTAGGCCAGGATCTACACCCCTTCCTTGTTTTACAACCAAGCCTCCTAAAACACTGTCCAAGCACATTTTTTTGCTTCTTTACTCCTTAACCTTCCTAAGCTTTCCTCACTCTAACCTTTTCAACAATGGTTTCCAGAGTGATGCACATAATATGATTCATTGAGACAGTGGAGAAAGTGTTTAACTTCTATTTATTTTTATCTAAATTTATAAAAAAAAAGTTTCTTGAATATTTTGATACATTAATTCATTTACTTTTGATACATTTAAACATTGACACCCCTTAATTAGTAATAGGCTCAGGTCGTATCACAGGCATGAGATCTTCTAAAGAAGATGTGGAGGTCTGCAGTGTGGAGGGTTGACAGGGCTCATTCACTCATTGGTTTGCTTTCAGTCTACAGTGATGTGTAACAGTTTATCCATGCCCAGTTAGGTGCATTTACAGGTTATGTAAGTGCCCTCACCAAATGGAAAAGGGTCTTTAAAAGATGCTAGCCTAAAAGCTTTTGGTCGAATATACTATACTAATTATAATGCAAGACAGTTGACCAAGAAGACAGTGACAGAGCTTTCGCATCTGTTCCTGGCCCCTGCTTGTCATTAGC